>NC_000006.12:17332727-17484242 GCF_000001405.40 Homo sapiens | reverse complement strand
TCTGCCCACAACATCTTCGCTATCAGGGAAGAGCTCTGGAAAGGAAATGAATGGAGCCCATCATCTTTGATTTCGGTCTGCCAAAAAAATAGAGTCCATCCGTCTTTGATTTTGGTCTGCAAAGAAAAAACAAAAAAGGGAGTCCGTGGTCTTTCATTTTGGTCTGCAAAAATAGTTCTCATCTCAGGCTGGCAGACCAAGGACATAAGCTTGGGAGTGTAGCAGTTGCCACTCTGCTCTCTGGGACTCTTCTCACTGGACTCACACAACTCCAAGCAGAAGTGACCAGAAACAGACAAGAAGCACACAGGAGAGAACCTATGGGGCTCTATCCAGGGCAAGCTCCTCTGGGTTTTTTCAGGGTGCTCGTGTGCAGAGTTCATGAGTGCTCCTTATCACTGAGCAGTGGGCTGGTGGCTCCTGGTGTGAAAACAACCCCGTCAGCCATGCCGGGGAAAACACCCCTGTCAGCCACGCCGGGGAGAGGAATCTCTCAGCAGCCTTGATGGTTGGGCTTCTGGAAGGCTTTGTGGCACAGTGGTGGAGCTGGGCATGTGAGAATTCTCTATCAAGGGGCCCTGGGGCTCCATGAGGGTTTGCATTCCCGTCTTTCATACCTTTCCTTTAGGAACCAGTACTTGGTTCTTTCTCACAGGGGCCTAAGCCCTGCCTTATCCCATTGTAAGAATGAATCCCAGTCCAACTGTGTCCTTTGACGTCACCTTGTCTGCACCCTGAGGAGTTGGTCTAATCTGGGTATGTCTCCCTGGAGTGTGACCAAATGCACACCAATGCCGCTCCTTCATTTTTACGTCAGTTCTACGTGTGCACGTGAAGTCTCAGGAAGTCACCGAGATTTTCATATGACTGTCCACAAAAATTAGACAGGAAAACAATGGAGGAAAAAAAAGAAATCAAGAAAATTGCTGAATGCTATCTATGTACCCTGCACTTTTGGGAAGGAGTTTTACAGATGGTAATCCCTCCTTGTATTGTTATCTGTAAGATTTTAGAAAATAAGAAAACAAGACACAACAAACACAGTATGATAGGCTTCATAAACAATAAAGAAATCGAATAAATGAAACCCCACCAACTGGCAGCCTGACTCCTATGAAAACACACTTTTGCAACTTAAAGGGGCAAATGGGCCTGGAACTCTCCACCTGAGCAGGTCTGAATGGGCTCACGATGAAAGCTTCCAAAGAGAGAGAGAGAAGAAGCAGTTATTGGTACAGAGGAATATGTGATGGCGTAAGCCAGGACACGCTAAACAACTGGCCCAAATGACGCCTGCATTACACAGATAATAACAATAGAACAATGCCTGACAAATCTAGTGTTACGGGCTGAGTGGTGTCCCCCCACTAATTCATATGATGATGTCCTTACCCTAAGTACTTCAGAATGTGACCTTATTTGGAAATAGGGTTGTTGCAGATGTAATTGGTTAAGATGAGGTCGTACTGCAGTAGGGAGGGCCCCTGGTCCTGTACGACTAGGTGTCCCTATGGAAAGGGGAAATGTAGACACAGAGACAGACACACAGGGAGAAACCACGTGAACATAAAGACGGAGTATGATGCATTTACAAGCCACGAAACACCAGATTACCAGCAACCCTCAAGAAGTCAGGAGGGAGTCTCAGAAGAGATTCTTCCCTTGGGCCATCTGAGGGAGCGTGGCCTTGCCCATGCCTAGACTTTTTTTTTTTTTTTTTTTTTTTTTTTTTTTTGAGATGGAGTCTCGCTCTCTCACCAGGCTGCAGTGCAGTGGCGCGATCTCGGCTTACTGCAACTTCTGCCTCCCAGGTTCAAGCGATTCTCCTGCCTCAGCCTCCCGAGTAGCTGGGACTACAGGCGCACGCCACCATGCCCGGCTAATTTTTTGTATTTTTAGTAGAGACGGGGTTTCACCATGTTGGCCAGGATGGTCTCGATCTCCCACCTCGGCCAGATCATGTGCTGGGATTACAGGCGTGAGCCACCGCGCCCAGCCTACGCCTTGACTTCTAACCTCCAGAACTATGAAAGAATAGGCTTCTGTTGTTTAAGCCACTAACTTTGTGTTATTTTGTTCCAGCAGCCCTAGCTGACGAATACACCTACAAAACAGAATAAGGAAGCTCAAGCTTTGAAGGACAGAAAGGAAAGGATCGTGATGAGTATAAAATTAGGAACAGAGATAACAGAAAATTTATTGAACTGAAATAGAATTTTGGCACGAACATCATGAGAATCCAGAGAAAGCCACTCACTCAGTGGTGGGTGACTTCCCATGCCCGAACTCCCCTACATATGCATGTCTGTCACCTTAAAGAAATAGAAAGGCCAAGGCAAAGCTTTAAAGTGATCACAGGTAAAGAGAGCTGGTATTTAATGACATGGAATACTAATTAGATTTCTCTCCTTAGACTTTGGAGGAGGGGAGGATGGGGTGGAAAAGCTATGACAAGGCCAAGAGAAGGTACTTGCCCAGGGTCATTTTGCTCTTTGAAGGCAGAGAAGGATATTTTCAGACTTAGAAAAATTGACCAATTAAAAATATGAAAAGTGTGTCACATAGAAATGTATCCATTTTGCCACTGTAGGAAACAAAACTAGACAGAGATTTATAAGGACATACTTGAGAAACAAATGAATCAGAATGTTATGCAAAGATTAATAGAATATAATGGAAATGGTTAGTAAATTAGCAAGTAAATTCTTGGAACTATCAGGTATTAGCAGAATCTCAAAAAGGATCTCAGATAATAATTACAAATAATGAACAGCTGAAGATGAACAAAAGTTTTTTTTGTTTCCTAGAAAAGAATCCAAGTTTACTTAGTTAATTGAAATAAATAGAAGCAGTTAAAATGGTTTTTCTGGAATATATTATTGTTAAAATGTTAACATCAGCCTACTTAAGGTTATCCTTTGGCCAAGTTCAGAAAGAGATAGAGTTTAAAATCTGCCATAAAAACCACAGAAATTAAAAGAAAAAGCAAGAACGACTACAATAAACATACATTTACTTGGGCTTCAGGACAAATAACATATCAAAAAGCACATGTGAACAGCCTAAACTTGCTTATTAAAAAGAATTAGAAAGTAATTGACTGGATTAAAAAATAAAATTCAACAATCTTGTTTAAAAAACATACATATTTATGCTGGGTGCAGTGGCTCACACCTGTAATCCCAGCACTTTGAGAAGCCGAGGTCACCTGAGGTCAGGAGTTCTAGACCAGCCTGGCCAACACGGTGAAACCCTGTCTCTACTAAAAAAAAAAAAAAAAAAAAAAAAAATACAAAATTAGCCAGGTGTGGTGGTGTGCACCTGTAATCCCAGCTACTCAGGCAGGAGGCTGAGGCAGGAGAATCACTTGAAATCAGGAGGCGGAGGTTGCAGTGAGCCGAGATTGTGCCATTGCACTCCAGCCTGGGCAAAAAGAGCAAACTCTGTCTCAAAAAAAAAAAAAAAAAAACCAAAAAAACCACATTTAGCACCAAGTCATCTTGGCAGATGGGGTGGGGGAGAATGGACTGAGATTGAATCTGTTTGTGTGAATACCAGAGCAAAGACACTTCAGGCGCTTCCATTTGTCAGGCGCAATTTCTCATGCATGAATCCTGCTTCTCTTGCAAGTCCCAGTTCAAGGGGCCCCTTCCTTGTGACCTCTTCTCCAACTCCCCAATCCCTATGCAGTGTTCAGGACTGCTACCTAGGGCCCCCCAACAGCTCAATACTTATTACAATGCCCTTATTACAATATACCAGGTTTAGGTTTATCTTTTGCCCTCGTTGGCCTTTGAGCTTTAGAGAAAGCAGTTCTTGGTGTCTCCAAGCCTAGCTAATCAAATTATGGAATACACTACACCTGTTAAAATGAAAAATATACAGATTAGGAAGAGAAGGATGGACATTTTGGGCCCTTGCATAGTCACATTATACATGTTCATAGCACTTGTGTTGTCCAATGTGATTGGGATAATGGATTTGCTGTGGGGGAGAAGTTTTGGAGGAGAGGACTCAGAGGCTGAAATAAGTTGCAAAGGGCCTTGACTGTCATCCTCTGTAGTCTGGAACTGATTGCATAGGCAACGGATTATGGCAGCATTCCTGATTTGCTTTGTTTTCTGCTTGTTTGGTTTGTTTTGTAGCAACAGTTACGATGATAAGAATGGAAGACAGGCTGGAGGAGCGGAAGCTTTGAGACAGAGACTGGTTGAAGAGGCCATACTGTAGTGTCTGTCAGAGAGTGGTGGGATTGTTTTTCTTCTCTTTTCTTCATTTCACAGATTTTTAAAAAGCAAGCTTGTAATACCCTTATATTAAAAAAATTAAGCTGGGCGCGGTGGCTCACACCTGTAATCCCAGCACTTTGGGAGGCCGAGGTGGGCGGATCACGAGGTCAGGAGATCGAGATCATCCTGGCTAACATGGTGAAACCCCATGTCTACTAAAAAAAAATACAAAAAATTAGCCGGGTGTGGTGGCGGGTGACTGTAGTCCCAGCTACTCGGGAGGCTGAGGCAGGAGAATGGCGTGAACCCGGCAGGCGGAGCTGGCAGTGAGCCGAGATCGTGCCACTGCACTCTAGCCTGGGCGACAAAGTGAGACTCTGTCTCAAAAAAAAAAAAAAAAAAAAAATTAAAAAGCAGATCTTTTTCTCTTCTTCCTTTCTCTCTTCTACCCCTTCCTTTTTTCCCTCCTTTTTTCCTTCCTCCTTGCCTCTTTTCCTTCTTTCATTTTTACTTCCGTCCTCCCTTCTCCTCTTCTTCACTCTCATCCTCCCTTCCTTTCCAAATTAGAGCAAATGGGAATGAAGTGAAGTTTTCACATCCCATAGATTCTCCTGGTTAGGGCATCATCAGGACTCAGAGATCAGCTGGATGTGAGGCGTGGAGGAAAGGAGGGGTCACAAGGACTTAGGAGTTCTGGTTCAAGAGACAGTGTGGCTTGAGGTTCCATCAACTGGGAGAAAGAATGAGGGAGCCCAGCATTTGGAGGAGGTGTGTGTGGTACAGACGTGTGTGTACACACACGTACAGGTGTGTGTGTGGTACAGACGCACTGCATTTGAGCTCCTGGAGGACACCCATGCCCAGGGCCGTGGAGCAAGAGCCTTCAGCTGGAGACGTACAGTGGGCACCACCAGCAGATGAGTGACGGACCCCACCATGGGAACGGATGAAACTGACAGGGGAGAGACCAGGTTTGAGAAAGTCCTCTTCTGATGACATAGAATGAATCTTAAAGGAATATGTACACTTAAGGGATAGAGGGAAGAAGAGAAGTCAGAGCAAGAAATGAAGTAAAACAGACAGAAAGCATAGTGTTATTACCCAAGAGAAGGAAAAACTTTGAGGAGGGTGATGGTCAGCAGTAAAAATTCTTCAAGGAGGCTGAATGGAATGAGGACAATTAAGAAGCAAGCAGGGCACTGGGAAAGTCTTTTTTGGTCAAATGATAAGGAGGAAAGACAGAGGACAGGAGATTAAAAAGTGACAGGGAAGTGAGGACATGACATCAGGGAGGACAGAGTGTTCCTAAGAAGGCTGGCAGTAAAGAGGAGGACAGAGACATTTTAGGCAGTGAAGGAAGTTGTTTTTGTTTTGTTTGGTTTGGTTTTTTTAAACAGAGAAAACTCATTTGGCTTGTAGACTAAACAGAAGGATCCAGTAGGGAGAGAAAGAAGGAAATGATTGATTAGATAAGGTCCTAGGGAAGGTAGGAGGTCACAACAACACGAAAAGGGATATTTATAATGTTATCAGATTAAAAAAGTATTCTGAATAAAAAGTAATTGAGAGGCCCAGTGCGGTGACTCACGCCTGTAATCTCAGCACTTTGAGAGGCTGAGGCGGGTGGATTGCTTAAGCTCAGGAGTTTGAGACCAGCCTGGCCAACCTAGTGAGACCCTGTCTCTACTAAAAATACAAAAAAAAAAAAAAAAAAAAGTAGGTGTAGTGGTGCACGTCTGTGGTCCCAGCTACTCGAGAGGCTGAGGCGGGAGGATCATTTGAGCCTGGGAGGCGGTGGTTGCAGTTAGCTAAGATCACGCTACTGCACTCCAGCTTGGGTAACAGAGCAAGACCTTGTCTCAAGGAAAAAAAGCAACCGAGGGGTCATTATAGGATTGCAATAGATACAGCCTATCTAAAAGAGTAAATGTTTATGACCCAAGCAACATAAAATTTTATATATTATACATAATTATTATTAATGATATATAATTAATATATTTATATATATTATATATATTTCATATATATGAAAAGTGGAAAATGCAAGAAGTAAAGTTAGTAATTATATAAGTTAAAACTCTGTTTAGGACATACCTGAACAACTAAACAAAGAACAGAAGCAAAGTTAAAAATTGTAATCATTAAGAAGAAACTAACAGTTACATGAAACAACCTAAATGACAGGATTACATTTAAATCACAGTTTCTTTTCAAGAAAAATAGATCTTCCCCCAAAATTAATCACAAAGATCTATGCTATTCCTTATATACATGGGAACAATAGTTTTTTCACAAGCAATCGATAGGTCAGGACATAATTATGGGGAGGTTTCAATGATGATCTTGTTAAGTATGAATCTCCTCTGTGCATCCCCTAAATATGGGGAGGAAACCCTCTTCCAGACTCCTTGAGTTTCTCTTACTGTAAAAAGTAATTAGGGTTGACTTTCCACAGACAGAAAGACAAGAGGAGGTTTTCAGAGACTCATTTAATAAGTGATCTTGGGAAAAGATCTTAATCATCTTAAATATCTGGGGTCTGGCTGGTTTTGGATGGTTTATTCATTTTGTCTCCTGTTGAGCACTCGTTATGAGCACTGGACACAGATAGTCAATGTAAAGGAAACAACTAAGTTTAGGGTAACCTGACTCAAAATAAAGGTGCAAAAATAAGTCAAGGAAATGAAAGTGGCCGGATGACATGCTGTAACAGCGCAGGCAGCCCTGCATCTCACAGTTACACTCTTTTCATTACTGCCTTGCTACTAATTAACACCTACACTTCAGCTTCCCTGCCTTGGAGGCTGCAAAAGATGGAGAAAGAAAGAAGAAAATAAGGCCGGGCACGGTGGCTCACGCCTGTAATCCCAGCACTTTGGGAGGCCGAAAGGCCGGGCAGATCACCTGAGGTCAGGAGATTGAGACCATTCTGGCCAACATGGTGAAACCCCGTCTCTACTAAAAATACAAAAAATTAGCTGGGAGTGGCTACACACCTGTAGTCCCAGCTACTCGGGAGGCTGAGGCAGGAGGATCACTTGAACCCGAGAGGCAGAGGTTGCAGTGAGCCGAGATTGCGCCACTGCACTCCAGCCTGGGCAGCAGAGCGAGATTCCATCTCAAAAAAAAAAAAAAAAAAAAAAAAAGAAGTAAGAAAATAAGACCAAAGCAGTTCAGAGAAGTATTGTGGGAAAAAGTTCTAAGGTGCATAGCCACATGATCAGCTCACAACTCCCTCCCTCATTCTAACTGACAAGCCACAGGGATAGGATTATCTTTCTCTATCCTCTCTCCTCACATACTTCCCGTTGTTCTCGTCTTTCTCCTTTTCCCATTTAAGCCTTGGGAGATGGCAGAACAAAGAAAAGTTGAATGAAAAGACCAGTGCCAAGGGAGCCCTCCCCAGTGCACTCCTGGGTACAGCCTCAGAATGCTGTGATTCTTTGATTGTTACTTCTGAAAAAGATAATCCAATCTCAAGCGTGGTATTAGAGAATTACAGAATGATTTTGAACATATCTGTCCAGGCCAGAGAAATGCTGTCAAGAGAGGAAAAGACAAGAGCTCTCACTTAATCACAAAAAACATTTTAAAAATATGGGTGGTCCAGTGCTTTTCTATGAAAAGACATTTCAAATTCTAAAGAGTCAAATAAAATTATTATTGATGATTATTTACTATGGCCATCCATCATCAGCTTCAGATAGGTAAGTTATGATATAGACTTTTTTATGAGCTGTACTGCAGTTAGAATTCATTAGCAACTCTTATAATCAACGTAAACACTGTATTTTAACCACTTTACAGGACATGGAGCCACATTTTCCCATTTTAAATAATCAGAAAGATTTTAGTTGTATCTTGGTTTGTATGATGTATAGTTTGTCCTGTCTGTGCTTAATTTGCTGTCAAGCTGGTAAAATATGAAGCTTCAAATTACAACCCTGCTCGTATGGGAAATATAATCCAATTATGACTATCCAAGAGGAATCCTGTACACATTCAACTATAGGATATTCAGCCAAAGAAAATGATGGGACTCCTGTTGTTCAAGTCATTTAAATCCAATTTGTGTGATGTGTTGGTCATTATTCTATATAGAGATTCCATCTGCACAGAGACAGGATAAACCCTGAAGTTCTTCTGCGCTGCAGTTTCTGTAGTTCAAGCTGCATAATTACCATCTTCAGAGGACTGACATTGGACATTCACAACAATTTCATTGCCTGAAGAAAGTACCGTTTTCCACAATTTACATGAAAACTCTGCACAGGGAAGAATCCATCTAATTGGAACATTTTTCAGCAGCATTTAAATATCAGGCCAGCTGGATCTCCACAGCCCATGTGAATTTAATCAGCACATTCTTCCCAGAACCTATATTCTATAATCATTGAAGGCTTGAGCGACATCTGTCACCCAAATCTGGTTGCCGTCATTTCTCATCGTTAGCGCCACACATCTAGAAATGAACCATTCCGTGGTCCCTTCCAAGGCATTCATTTAGTAAAAGGGGGTGTAAGAGAAACAAACCTTTGAAATGAAATGCCTCACCAACACTATCTCGCTTGTTCTTCTCTAATCTTCCCATTTCCCATAAGGAATACTCTTTCAAGGCTGATCCAGGACTTACATGTTACCAGTTATGCTGTCAATTGATAACTAAGTCCTTACCAAATACACCTCCAAATATCAAGTTCCTTTTCAGTAAAAGATAACAGCATCACCAAACGACAATGTCCCTCCTTCACTCAGTTCCCTTCCCTGAACCACTGTAATCCATGAACCTAGCTTTTCTTTCTTTTTTTTTTTTTTTGAGATGGAGTCTTGCTCTGCTGCGCAGGCTGAAGTGCAGTGGTGCGATCTCAGCTCACTGCAACCTCCGCCTCCCAGGTTCAAGTGATTCTCCTGCCTCAGCCTCCTGAGTAGCTGGGATTACAGGCGCACGTCACCACATCCAGCTAATTTTTGTATTTTTAGTAGAGACGGGGTTTCACTATGTTGGTCAGGCTGGTCTCAAACTCCTGACCTTGTGATCCGCCCGCCTCGGCCTCCCAAAGTGCTGGGATTGCAGGTGTGAGTTACTGTGCCTGGCCGAACCTAGCTTTTATTCCTCAAACAAAACAAGTGACTCGGAACCCGAGCCTCTCTTCTCATCAAACTTGGCATCTAATAAAAAATATTGTGAAGACCACAATATGTCAGAAAAGCAAAGAGATATCAACTCTAAAGATCCCTGAGGCTCTGCAAATCTTGTTGAGGGGATGGAAAATATGCACAAAAAAATAACAGTAGAAGTGTTTCTAAAATAACAGTTATTTCAGAAGTTACTTGTTGTTTGACAGAGACTACTACATAGGTGCTGAGGAAGTTCAAATAACATCATCCCGACCTTATTTTCCAAAGTATGTTCTCATACAAATGAAATAATAGATGCAGACGTGCTAAGTGCTCTGACTACTATAGAGTAGGCATGCGATAAATACTTAGTGAAAGAAAAGCCTGAAAAATAAATTAATGGAGTTGAGGAAATTAAAGAGGGCTGCAGTATGTAAGATGAACAAGGCCTGACAAAGATCTGAAGCAACTACTTACAGGCAAATTTATCTAACAAACGATTCCAGATATGGAAACACTAGTTCTCAAAGCAGTGGATGAACCAAAACCTGACATGCCCATTTTTTTTTTCCTGTTTAGTTATGGGAAAAAAATATCAAACAAGAAGGACATTTTCGAGGTGTTTGCCACTATAAACTTAAGCATGAAGCTGCACTAGGGGAACGGATTTGGAGAATAGAACAAAAAAAAAAAAAAAAAAAAAAAAAGACTGTTTTTTTCCTCTGTCTTGATTAGTTTGAAAAATGTCTTTCCTCTTAAATAAACAGACATCAGCTAATCAGGGGAGGGGCTAAAAAATGGAAAATGGTAAACTTTGGTCTTTATTATTCTGGCAATGTTGACTAGCTAGTTCAAAATTTTGTTTTCAAATCTCTGGAAGGCAGAGTGTATTTCAATTAGCTTGGTTTACAGCAGTTTGTCTTCTCCTAAAGACAATTATATAAAATTTATTTAGATTATTTGTAGTTTTAGTACTTATGGAAGTGCCTGCATTTTCAATTAAGAGCTAAATATACAAATTAAAAGTACTGCACAGTGAAGCTTCAATCGAGCCCTCACTGGTTGGTGCACATAAACACTAATATCAAATGATGGTTTTGTCATGTGATCCACCCCCCAGCACATACAAATATAGAACATGACCATAAAAAGTAACGAACCATGCCCTCTGCTAAGTAATTTATGACAGCAGATCCAGACTGGAATGCCAGCTGGAATTACCTTCTCCTTGCCTTCAATTTTCACATATACAGCTTTGTACAGATGACAGAAGCTATGTTCTGCAAAGAGGATCTAAGTTAAGGCTGCTGAAACAATTAACAAGTAGCAAATCCAAATAAAAGGTCAAAATATGTTTGGCTTTTAAAAAGATTTGTTGAATGACACAGTGACCTCTTTCTAAATTACTTTTTGATTCAGGTCATGAGAGAAAAACTTGCAACTCTTACACTTTTTATATCAGATTGATGGTGGCTAAGCAAGCAAATATTGAGCTTCACAGTGTAAAATGATAGATCGTTGATAATTATTTTATTAAAAACACAAAGTGACCTCAATATTTAACTAAATGGAGAATAAAAAATTCCCTAGTCAAATATTAGTACATACACAGTTTTATCATTTATGTAGCATTTGCCATCAAGGCAGTCTGGAATTCTAACGAACTTAGTATGGAACAGTTGATCAAACAAAGGATATTATCCTTCTTTATTAACCTTTACCCCTCAGATAATCTCTTGAATCCCCAGGGTGTGATAACCACCTCACTTCCTTTGGGCAGCCATTCATTATCTAATTCATGTCTTATACAAAGAGAGATGAGCTAATGTGCCTTATCAGATTAAAAAAAAAAAAAGGTCACCATGAGTGATGTTCCAACAGGACAGGATCTTAGCAAATCCCTTCTGCCTCCACAGTCCTGGGTTTCTAAATACCTATAAAGCTACCAACTCATAGTCACAGCTCACAGGCTCACCCACAGCTTTATGTTGCTAAAGCAAACAGTCTGGGCAGAAGAATGACAGAATTACTCTCTTTTCTGATTACCTCCCTCTCTGCATCCTGATAAACTAATGATTAGCTTTCCTGTTGGGATTCAGCCCTGACTGGGTAGCTTCAGGCTGTCAACTCAAGCAAACCCTGATGATATCACACAAACCCCTGCCTCTCCTTCCTTCCTTGGTGTTTTATTGTGTGTTAACCAGCATCTACATCCAGCACGGGCAGTAGCCGTCACATGCTAGCCACCATGTAATTACCAAGGTAATTCTCTTGCCATTGGAAGGCTCATAGGAAAAGGAAAAAAGCCTTCTTTTTGCCTCACTTCTCCACCTTCTGCTACTCAGAAAGCTGCTGTTTACATAAAAGCAATCTTGTAAGTATCAGAATGCAATTGGTTTTTACCTATACTACATAAATTATATTTAAGCAGATATTTTAGTTGAACTTAAACTAATACACTTCTCCAGAAATTAAAAGCATATATTGCCTTTGGGTGCTTTTGTGTTGGTAGTGAAGAGAGCCAACCCATTCAGCACTATTTTTTTTTTTTTTTTTTTTGAGACGGAGTCTCGCTCTGTCGCCCAGGCTGGAGTGCAGTGGCGGGATCTCGGCTCACTGCAAGCTCCGCCTCCCGGGTTCACGCCATTCTCCTGCCTCAGCCTCCCAAGTAGCTGGGACTACAGGCGCCCGCCACTACGCCCGGCTAATTTTTTGTATTTTTAGTAGAGACGGGGTTTCACCATTTTAGCCGGGATGGTCTCGATCTCCTGACCTCGTGATCCGCCCGCCTCGGCCTCCCAAAGTGCTGGGATTACAGGCGTGAGCCACCGCGCCCGGCCCATTCAGCACTATTAACAGAGCAGAAACTTACGCATATTTATGAAGTGAGACTATCGAGGTAATTTGGAAAAGCTCATAAAGTGAGTCACTGGTTTAGATTCTAAGGTGCTACTCCTTCCTGAAACTGTCAATCCAGACCACTGGGAAATACCACGGCTAAATGGCTAAACTGAAACATAACTAAGCGTGATACAAAGAATGAAACCTTTTTTTTTTTTTTTGAGACGGAGTCTGGCTCTGTTGCCCAGGCTGGAGTGCAGTGGCGCAATCTCGGCTCACTGCAAGCTCCACCTCCCGGGTTCATGCCATTCTCCTGCCTCAGCCTCCTGAGTAGCTGGGACTACAGGCACCCGCCACTATGCCTGGCTAAATTTTTGTATTTTTAGTAGAGACGGGTTTCACTGTGTTAGCCAGGATGGTCTCGATCTCCTGACCTCGCGATCCGCCCGCCTCGGACTCCCAAAGTGCTGGGATTACAGGCTTGAGCCACCGTGCCCGGCCTAACTTTTTTACCTTTTACTTCTCTTGTAGCTTTTTTCTACTTCCAAGATCAATGAAACCGATATTTAAAAACCCATTAAAAATCCTTGCTGTGCACATATAATTAACAGTAGTTACTCAACAGAATATTTTCTTCATGCCTTTGTATTAAGAAAAACCCAACTTCATAGCAATATTTCAAAATAGACATTTCATTTTACATTAGGGCCAGAATTACTTTATTGCATTATGTTATCTGTCATATGGCCCTTGACAACAGAACTTAGCAGCACTAATCATGGCCAAATCTTTCAGGAAGATTCAGCAATTCTGATTGAGCAATGCTATGACATTTTCTGGGCATGGACTTAAGAAACACTTGGGAGTTTGGCTCTGTGTTCCTTCGTTTGCTTTTCCTTTGCAATTTCTAGACCTGCCACTAGCACCAAGTAATTTACCCAAGGTATGCTCTGAGATCAGTCACATGATTACTTTGTTTGGCATTTTAAAATACTGGACAATAACTTGACACCTTATCGTTATGGTAAAACATTTTATAGGGAAAAAGTATAAACTCACTGTAGTTAAAAGAAATTTTGAAATATCGCATACATACATAGATACATCTATTTATACCCAAGTGCAATAAAAATTCAGCTGTTAGATTTCAAAGTCTTTCTTGTCTTTCCCTGGACAGCTAGAGAAATGGGGTATTAGTCTGGAAAATCCCTATGAGTTTTTGGAAAGACAATACATTTCCACAGAGAAAGAGCTCATTTTAGCCAAACCAAGTGACTCACTCTGGTGGACTGGCCAAATGCTCACCAAATCTGTTACTTCTTCCTTCCAGGCATAGAGGTGGGTTAAATTCCCCAGTCTCCTTTGCAGCTAGGAATGACCAGAAGACTGAATGAAGGTGAGGTGACATAGGCCATTTCCAAGCCCAGCCCATAAAACCTTCCTGCATTCTCTTTTCCAATTCAATGGCTGAGGAATTAGAGGAGTTGGGTGCCCCAAGATGGAAGAAGCCTGGACCCTGAACTACCATGTGGAAGAATGGCAACCAAAAACACTGGAGCAGACCTTATGTGAACAAGAAAAAAAATCTCTTCTGTTAAGCCTTTGAGATTTGGGGACTTTTTGCTAAAGCAGTCAGACAACACTGACTAATAATGAACTTTTCTAGTCAGTCACATGACCCTCGCCTGCTTTTTCTCATTTAATCCTCACAATAACCCTTTGAGATAGGAATTATTTGTTATCCCTATTTTAAAGACAAGAAAACACGGGCTTAGAAAGTTTAACTGCCTTCCCCCAAGTGGGTAACTTGACAAGTTGGTTTGGTTAGAGTGGGTCAGTGGATTACCAAGTTAATTCTCCAGTAGATACCGAGAAAAAGATAGAAGATTCTCAAACTTAGAAGACATAGATGAATTCGTTTTTCTCGCATTTGGATTAGCAGAGCTAATGAGTAGAAAATGTGAAATTCAAATCCAAGTAGGCCCAAGTCCAAAGTTTCTGCTCTTGACAACCCTCACAAATTAATATGTTTTATTAAAATCCTGAACATATTTATGCCCACTAATAATCTGGATCTCTCATGCATCTAAATAATTAGCTTAAGTCCTAAGATCACTGCCGCTAGGCTTTTTTGCTTAGTTTAATGTGAACAAATTATTAACAAATTTGATGACTGCTCCATGCCTTAGAAAATCCTTATGGAGAAAGTGCTGAGCGGAGGACTGTGCTGGGCATGTGCATTCACTCAGAGATGGAGGAACGGCCAAGAAGGTTCACTAACCTTCCTTCTCCATCTAATTTTTCAGATTGTATAAACAATGAAAGGAAAGAGAATCAGTTTTAGATGCCTGCTTTATGCACAGGAAGGCACTATTTCCCTTTAAAGTACAAGTTCAAATAAAGACAAGAAAACGAGAGGGAGGATAGTAGAAACGCGCTCTCTGTCTCTCTCTCTCCCCCTTATGGAGGAATACAGAACTCAGACTTCCTAGATAGAATAAAACCTACCAGGCAGCCAATGACCATAAATCATCTTCCCTGAAGTTGAAAAACTTAAGATTAATTTTTTCTCTATGTGCAGGTACATATTGATTCCATGCAAATACACACACACACAGACACACACACACACACAGACACACACAGACACACACACACACAGAGATCATTTCACTGTCAGGTCTTAGCAGCACGAGAAATGCTGGAGAAAATAGGGAAAGTGTGAAGGCAGCAGAAAGCCTGCTGTACTTATGGCCCCTCAGCTATAGTTCTCCACCCTCCGGGTGCTTCTCTTCTGCTCCTGCAAACTACTCAGGGTTAGACTGGTGGGACATCAGTGGGAGACCTCCCAGGAATTCCCCGAATGATAGTCTTCCTTGGGGTGGTGCCCATCAAGGCATCAGATGCGTGGTTTACAAAAGGTTACCTCTGCAGCTCGGGCGAGAGTTTTGGAGTCACCCATGGTTAAAATTGTTAACACTCTTGTTTTCTCATCTCTCCCAGGTGAGGTGAGGTGAGGTGGCCTCAGGCCAAAAAACACTTGTTCATGTCAACTCAACACTTTCTACAATTTTATTTTGACATACAACTCTTATAAATGACGTGTAGTGTGGCTCTTACATGTAGGGTCTGCAAAAAGGACTCTGGACAGTGAATAAAGGAATGGGTCCAGGTCTACATCCTGGGGCTGGATTATTAATGTATCACTGAATATTGTTTTTTACGTTTGAGAACTAGAAATAACATACTTCCTCTATGCTCACCTGCTGTAAAAGTAAATGAATAGTTGAGCAAGCCAGGGTGGGGGCTTCTTGGCCATTTTCCATGTGAGAATCCTTCCATCAACTGGAAGAGGATGGGCTTGACAAATTCTAGACTATAAGAAGTGCTGTAAGAACTGGGCCATTCTTTTGCTCAAAGGTTATTTATGTAAAATACAACAAGGGGAGACAAGAAAAGCTGAGATGCTTTGCAAATATTTTATAATGTGTTTTGTGTCATGAGCATGTAATAAATCAATGAGAAAGGTGCTTCTGAACTGCAAGGTGTGACCACTAGTGCATCTTAAGATCAGTTCAGTGGGTGATGACCACAGCACAGCATAGACTAGAAGAAAAATGTCAGAATGCAGCGCACATGGTAAGAATACTGTTTTGTGAAACTGGGTGGTAAAGTAAAATATCCTTTTTTCTGTGGGTCAAGGCTGAAATGTTGAAATGTCCTAGTATTAGAGAATGCAAGAGACCTGTTTCCTCATTGCCAAAGTGAGAAAGGAAATTTGAAATTGGGGGTCACCATTGTCAATCAGGGCTGTCAATGAATCCTTTATCCGGCTTCTGCCAGGATAGATGGAAGGGTGAAGGTGGAGGAACTGAAGGGCACATTGTGGTCTATGGCCTGTGGTCTTATTAAAAAAAAAAATTCAACATGGATAGAACTGGAGATTGTTATGTTACGTGAAATAAGCCAGGCACAGAAAGGCAAACATTGCATGTTCTCACTTATTTATGGGATCTAAAAATTAAAATAATTGAAATCATTGACATACAGAGTAGAAGGATGGTTACCAAAGGCTGGGAAGGGTAGTGGGGGAGCTGAGGCGGGGAGGTGGGGATGGTTAATGGGTAAGAAAATAGTAGTTAGAAAGAATGAATAAGGCCTACTATTTGATAGCATAACAGGGTGACTGTAGTCAATAATAATTGCACATTTTAAAATAACGAAGAGTAGGCCGGGTGCTGTGGCTCATGCCTGTAATTCCAGCACTTTGGGAGGCCGAGGCGGGCGGATCACGAGTTCAGGAGTTCAAGACCAGCCTGACCAACATAGTGAAACCTCATCTCTTCTAAAAAATAGAAAAATTAGCTTGGTGTGGTGGCGTGTGCCTATAATCCCAGCTACTCAGGAGGCTGAGGCAGGAGAATTGCTTGAAGCTAGGAGGCTGAAGTTGCCGTGAGCCAAGGTAGCGCCACTGCACTCCAGCCTGGGTGACAGAGCAAGATTCCGTCCCAAAAAAACAAACAAACGTTAAGAGTATAATTGGGTTGCTTGCAACACAAAGGATAAATATTTGAGGGGATGGATACCCCATTCCCCGTGATGTGGTTATTATGTATAGCATGCCTGTATCGAATCATTTCATGAACCCCATAAATACATATGCCTACTATGTACCCACAAAAAGTTTTTAAAAATTCATTACCTTAGAGTTCAGCAACAAGGGAATTGAGAGAATCCCTATTAGTTTTCTATTGCTGTGTTACAAATTACCACAAACTCAGTGGCTTAAAACAATATCCATTTATCATCTCACAGTTTCTGTAGATCAGAATTCTGGGCCAAGGCAGAGCTAGGTTCTCTCTCAGGGTCTCACAAGGCTGACGTGAGCCACAACCGACCACTCATGTTGGTTTAGTTTTGCCTTATGCTGTGGCAGCAAGAGTGGTCACTTGCATTCATTAGCAGGATCCAAGGGACTCCCTGGAAGGTTCTCCAGCCCTGAAAGATCTTCCCTCCCCAATGCCCAAAACTCCTATTAAAGATTAATTCTATACTCTTTTCTCTCAGAGCCCTGTTACAACACTAAGTAAATAATTATATGAGTCATTATTTAGTAACTCATCTACTAGATACTAAGCTGACTTGCAACAGATAGCTATATAGTGCGCACAAGAAATAAACCTCTGCAGTTGTCCATCACTAAGATTTTAGAGATGTTTGTTACTGCAGCATAACACGGCCTACTTTGCTACAGAAATGGTAGGAGAAGAGAATATGAATTCGAGATTTGACTACCAAGGGATTCTGTGCTTGTTGGGATTGTGGATGGCAATGACTAAAGTCTTGCTGCTCAATGTGTAGTGAGAAATCAGCAGCACCAGCATCGCCGGGGAGCCTGTTAGAACTACAGACTCTTGCACCCCACTTGAGACCAACTGAATCAGACTCTGCACTTTAACAAGATCTCCAGATGATTCAAATGAATACTGAAGTTTGAGAAGCAGTGGTCTAGAGACCGTTGGAAATGAAATTCTGAAGCACCTGAAATAAATCTGAGCTTCAATTGTAACAGTGAGAGCCATCCATACAGCACAGGATCCAAAGTGTGGTCTCTGGACGAGGAGTATCACATCACCTGGGAACATTTTAGAACCGCAGAGTCTTGGGACTCAACCAAGACCTACTGAATTGGAAGCTCTGTAAGTGGGGCCCAGCAGTCTGAGTTCTGACAACCCTCCAGGGAACTGTCATGCACGCTAAAGTTGGAGAATCACTGTTGTATGTCACTGAGAGCTGAAATTACAGCAGTTAATTCTCTTCCTCCTGAAAGAAGGAGGACAGTAAGACACAAATGGTTATAATAATTGTTCCTATGAGAAAATACGATCTGCATTATGATACTGATCTTTAAGATGCATCTTCTAGAATGCATACTGGGTGGATCAAGGTCTGGCCATAGACTGTTTTCACCACTGTGGCGATTGTGTATGACAGACGCAGTTGACAGCAATGACTTGAGCATACCCTGAGAGTGATCTTGTACGGCAGATCCACCTGAATGTGTGTTCAGAGTCTGCAACTAAGGAATCTGGGAGTGGCCAACCTGGAGATCCATTGCTCTTCTATGAGGAACATTTGAGCCCCTGGGGCTTCCCAGGGAACGCTGTGGAACACTGGCCATATGGGGGAGGGAGGCCTTTTGTTTTAGGTTAAATGAAGGTTACCAGGTGGAGGTTGTTAGAGGGAGGATGTTACATGAAAATGCTATATAAATTACACGCCTTTCGCAAGTGGTTGTAGTTCTCCTGTCCAGCCCTCTGCTACTGGACTCTCTCCCCTGTATGCAAGTCCCCAATAAACTTCAGGTCTTTTCTGCTGGTTCTGGGTCTCTTCTTCAGCCTCTTGAGCCTGTACCATCCCCACTGGAGTGGACAGGGGTTCTGAACAACACGTGGTGATCACTCAGGTCTGCTTTTCTGTCAGGTGGAAGTAGTAGGACGGTGTTCTGAATAAAGAGGAAAGGGAAGTAGAGAGAAGGGCCAGGAAGGGAGGTAGGCATCATAAGCCTGCTCTGCATTTTCCTGGTCCTGGTCCAGGCCTTATTGCACATGGAGCACTGTGGTAAGTGCTGCCAGACGTTTCCAGTGCATGCCTCCCTGGGAACCAGTTTCCCTCCCCTTTATCAAGAATTCAATAGAGCCAGGCACAGCGGTTCATGCCTGTAATAACAACTCAGGAGGCTGAGGTGGGAGGATCACTTGAGGCCATGAATTTGAGACTACAATGAGTTAGGATTGCACCACTGCACTCTAGCCTTGGTGACAGAGCAAGAGCAAGAACCCATCTTTAAAGAAAGAAAAGAAAAAAAAGAATGCAGTAGAGTAAGAAAGGGAAACTGTAGATATGACCCAAGAATCTGCACAGCCACATGCTAGGCCACACAGTGTCCCTGACTATGGCTCATGCTGGAATGCCACAGACCCAATGCATTCATCCATTGTTCATTCACTTACATTTTCATTCAATATTTAGTGAGTGGCTTTTTTGTCTAAGGCCTGCAAAGCCATTGGAGAGGCCTCTTGTTCTGAGGCTTAGGGAAGGGATGGAGTGGTAACCCAGTGAGGAAAGTCACAGTTCTTCTTCTACCTGAGAATCTCAATTGGACCACCTCTCCTCCCACTTCACAGAAAAGGCAGGCTAAGGCTGAATCTACAACACATCGCTTTGTGATTTCCCAGTTTCATTTTGCTCTTCTGCAAAGCAGAGATTGAGAAGAGCAAGGAGGAAAATGCATCCATGGTGGAACACGGAATATTTTCATCTCTACAGAGCCTCCTACCTAGGCTGTGAGCTAACTCCTTTCACGTGGAGGGAGGTGATATATCCATCTTGGGTGGGGGCTGACAGCTCTGGTTGAAAGTCAGAATCACCCGTGAAGCCCATAGAAATCTCAAAGCACAGGCCACTCCTCAGACCAATGAAGTCACAGTCCCTTGGGTTGGGACCCAGGTACTGGTATTTTTTAAAATTTTGCAGGTGATTCTACTGCACAAGCATGGCTGGGAATGTCCGTTCCAGGGAGGGTCTCAGGTCTCTGGTCTTGCCTCTTTATGGAGCTGAGTGTCATCCCCTGAAGGTCAAAGTTCTGGATTCCCAGGATTCTTAGCTCAAAATTTTCAATTTCAGGAGTTTGTTTCATAATTCAAAGTGAGTTATTACATTTAAGCTATTGTGTCATAACATATGCTCAATTTATTTTTTATTTATATAAATGTTCTTAAACTTCGGATGCAGAATATTTAGCCAAAATAACAATTTTTATTTTTTTCTGATAAAACAAAGTATGCTGGTAGTGCCACTACTTTTTAATGAATAATTTCATTCGTGACACAATCAGCATTGTCAAAAGTTGTTATTATGAACCCTTGGTAGAGGGAATGCAGTTATTTGCATGATACAATGTCAGTAGTTTGGGCAGGTGGTGATCACGCTTTGGTTTAGAGAATCGAAAATTTTCAGGGCCTGGGGAATGAGACGGACCTCCGCCAACCATTAATTTGCTCTTAACATCTGTTCTCACAATTTGATTCCTTCTGTATTAAAATTTACCATGGGCCTTACTTGGTAATTTTACAATAGATTAAAAGTTGTTAAAATTACTACATTGGTAATATTGTTGCAGTTAGCATCAGATCCTCTAACACCTCTAAATATCTTTAACCTAAGAAAAGTTCATTCATATTTATGGTGGAAGAGAAAGGCGAGATGGACTATACCTAAGTTCTTATAGAGTCATGAAAACTCTTTCCAATTTTGGTGTTTTGAGAATGAGGATCAGCAGCATGGGCATCACGCAGGAGCTTATTAAAAAGCAGAATCTTGGGACACAATCCAGGCCTGATGAACCAGAAACTGCAATGAAGCTCCGTAGACGACCCATAAACACAAAACACTTAACCACCAATTTAGCCCATCTACGCTACTTAGGAAATAGGAGCTAATAAAATCCATACATGGAGGTTAGAGATGATCATAGATGTGAACAGTCTTTGGTAACAAAGCAGCTCAAAATCTGAGCTAAAAATTAGTTATAAACATTTCCTTGATTATAAAAAGGTTGTGAGACTAGTATAAAGATCACACAAGTCAACTCACCTTTTAAACTGGTAATGTCCATTTGTTACAGTAAGAATTTGGCCATAATGATATATTAGTAGTAAGAAGACACATTGCTTTTTTTCTTTCTTTTTTTTTTCGCAAATGGCATACTTAAAAAAAAAAAACTTGTCTACTATTAATGAGATTAGGAGAGAGAAGAATTGTTCTATACCATGATCCAGATTAGAGACAGAACATACACGTGCTGTAAGTCTCATTTTTAGGAGGTCGACTATAATAAATGCTTCTGTTGCCTCCTTGTTTTCCATCTTACACTGCGCATACCCTGGGACACCTTCCCTCTCAGGACACTCTCTTACCTCGTGGGGTTGTTGGTACTGAGAGGCCATCAGAAGGAAAGCCCGCTGGGCCTGGAAAGCACTGTGCACCATTTCTGCCTGGGAACAAAGAGGAAGATGGCAGTTTCAATGTTTGACTCCTAAAAATTGTTACCATATAATCTGGCAATTCCACCCGTAGGTATATACCCAAGAAAAATGAAAATATATCTTCACACAAAAACTTGTAAATGAATGTTCGTAACAGCATCATATAATAACCAAAACATGGGAACAACCCGAATATCCATCAACTCATGAACCAATAAACAAAATGTGATATATCCATACCACAGAATATTATTCAGCATGAAAAAGAGACAAGGTACTGACACCTGCTACGACATAGGTGACCCTTGAAAACATTACGCTGAGTGAATGAAGTCAGTCGCAAAAGAGTACATTTGTATGATCCCATTTATATAAAATGTCCAGGAGAAGCAAATCTATAGAGACAGAAACCACTACAGAGCAGTGGGTGCTGGGGCTGCTGGGAGGGAGGAATGGGGAGTGAACTGCTAATGGGTATGGGGTTTCTTTTGGGGGTGGTGAAAATGTTCGGGAAATAGTGATGATGGTTTCAAAACTTGGTGAATATACTGAATCATACACTTCAAAAAGATGAATATTATGACATGTGAATTATATTTCAATAAAGCTGTTAAAAAATGTTTGAGCCCCAAAGTGCACTTGTTTTCAAAGCCTGTCTCTCTCTTACCCTCTTTCACACTGTGCCCACATTCTATTCTACACCTTCTAGAGGAAAGAGAATTGTCCCTTAAGCCATCACCATTTAGATATGCTCACTGAAAGCCAGTGGCTTCTAATCATTAAGATGGGCCCAGGAGAGATGTCAGTGCCATTTGGGCCCTGGTAGAGGGGGCCCCACCTGGACTCAACACCCCACAAGGAGACGTGTAAGCAGGAATGGCCTCAAACACATATTCTCTTACCTTCACCCTTGACTCATTCAACTAATTTGTTAATTTTTGTGGGTTTTTTTGGTTCTTTTTTCTTTTTTTGTTATGTTAATTTTTTTTTTTTTTTTTTTTTTTTTTTTTTTGAGACGGAGTCTCGCCCTGTTGCCCAGGCTGGAGTGCAATGGTGCGATCTCAGCTCACTGCAAGCTCCGCCCCCCAGGTTCATGCCATTCTCCTGCCTCAGCCCCCCGAGTAGCTGGGACTACAGGCGCCCGCCACCACGCCTGGCTAATTTTTTTGTATTTTTAGTAGAGACGGGGTTTCACAGTGTTCGCCAGGATGGTCTCGATCTCCTGACCTCATGATCCGCCCACCTTGGCCTCCCAAAGTGCTGGGATCACAGGTGTGAGCCACCACGCCTGGCCTTGTTAATTTTTTAAATTAAAAAAATTACAGAAGTGTACCAAGAAAAAATATCCAGATCACCCAGGATTAACCATTTTGGCATTTTTTTCTAGTTTTTAAGAAAATTCATGCAGTTATTCTTGTAAGATAAAGCATACTGACTTGGAATAGTTTTTTTTTAAATGCAGAAAGTTTCAAAGATTAGGCAAGGCATGGCGGCTCATGCCTGTAATCTCAGCACTTTGGGAGGCCAAAGTGGGTGGATCACCTGAGGTCAGCAGTTCAAGACCAGATTGGCCAACATGGTGAAACCCTGTCTCTACTAAAAACACAAAAATTACCCATGCATGGTGGTGCATGCCTGTAGTCCCAGCTATTTGGGAGGCTGAGGCAGGAGAATCATGTGAACTTGGGTGGCAGAGGCTGCAGTGAGCCGAGATTGTGCTACTGCGCTTCAGACTTCAGACTGGGTGACAGAGGGAGACTACGTCTCAAAAAAAGAAAAAAAAAAAGGTTTCAAAGATTACAGGGTTTTTTTTTTTGTTGTTTTGTTTGTTTTTCTTTTTTTGTCTGTTTGTTTTAGAGACATGGTCTCACTCTGTCACCCAGGCTGCAGTGCAGTGGTGCAATCTTGGTTCACGGAAGCCTCCAACTCTTGGGCTCAAGCAATCCTCCTGCCTCAGCCTCCTGAGTAGTTGGGGCCACAGGCGCACACCACCACACTCGGCTAACTTTTGAATTTTTTAGTAGAGGTAAGTTCTTGCTATGTTGTCCAGGCTGGTCTCAAACTCTTGTGCTCAAGCGATCCTCCTGTCTTGGTCTCCCAAAGTGCTGGGATTACAGGCATGAGCCACCACACCCAGCAAAGATTAGAGTTTTAAAATAATGCCTCACAACCTAGAAATAATCATTAAATGAACATCATTGTAACCTCCTTTTAAGAATATATGCAGAGAGACTTAAAAAGCATACATTTTAGTTATGATTGAATCGTAGAGATGTAAATGAAAAAGAACTGTTAAACTTCAAAGAAAAGTTTCTGCACCATAATAGTTTTTATGTCCTAAAAGATCATTCTAAGGTTAAAAAAAAGATTATAAAATGTTGAGACTGGGATAATTATGTATTTGCACTCTAAAATGACATGTTATAATTCTAGATAGTATTGACTGACTTCTTGCTGGGAAAGATGAGAACATAAGTACTTACACTTTTTCCATCTCTGATCCCTATCTTCCATGGTTTTTAGTTATTATTTTTATTTTCTCCAAACTGATAGCAATAATATTCAATCTGTAGTATTAGTGTACACAGTTGTTAAGTATTAGTTCTGCATTTATGCAAACCTAATGATTCTCATCATAACTTCTCCGTTTCTGAGTTAATTTTATTTTTTTTTAACTGGCCAGGCATTCATTATTGTGTATTTTCTTCAACAAGCTCTCAGTTGTTTTTTAGTTCTTTCAGGTTGAAGCACGTCTCCCTGTTGTCTTTATATTTTAACAAGATCTTGATGGGATATAATATCCTTGGGTCACTTTCTCTCTCCATTTTCAGAGAGCGTGGCCCCAGATGTGGCAATGGTGACATCTGAGACTAGCTTGATTTTTTTCTCCCTTGTAGGAAATTGACTTATTCTGATTTGATATCTCAAGAATTATTTCTTTATCCTTGAGGTTTAATAGCTTCACTAAGATATGTTTGCGTTTTGAACATTCCATAGTATATTTCCTGGAATAGGTTTAGTCCTTTCTTCATTTCTGGGAAATTTTATCACATCTTTCAGTGTCTCTTCTGTTCCTTTTGTTAGAGTCTCTATTCAGGGACCCAATTATTATCCTCATAGTGTAGAATATTTGAATGTCTTAATATCTTTTAGAGTCTCTCTGTCTTTAATCTCCTTGTTTGTTATCTGCATTCTCTGTGATTATAAGAATACTTTTTCTATTGTTAGTAAACAAATTTTCAACAGGTCTCATATATGTTATCATTTCTAATTTACATATCTTTTTTGCATTAATGTATTTAATTCTTGATTTGTCAGACTTTAAATTTCCTTTTTCATTTCATTCTTGTTTTATCACCTTGTCTTTAGGCTATTTTAAAAATACTTTTTATAATCTTGTTAAATTCTAAGAGTACAAGTTATCTTCTTATTGAGGAACCTGTTTCTGTTCCTTAAATACTATTTTCTTCAAGGGTAAGCCCCTGTCTTTCTACTTTGCATGCTAGCCTCCTTTCTGACACATTACTTGTAGCTGCCACATTGGCTCTTTCCATCTTGCACATATTTTAATTTTTCTGATAAAATGTGGGTGATTCCTTGCCATCATATTGGAGATCAGCTTCTTTGCCCTTTCAAGCCAGAATCTGGGGGCTAAATGCTTTCTGCTCTCTATTCTTTAAGGCCTGCTAGAACAGGGAGAGGAAGAATTTGGCTGAGGTGATGTCCAGTCTTTATTTGTGTCTTCAAGTGCTGCTCATTCTTCTGGGAATTTGCTAAATGCCCCAAACCAGGATTCACTCCCCATTCTTGGAACACATGCCATTCGGATGGAGTGGTCCCTTCCGACTTTAGATCATTTCTCTGATTCAAAACCTAGACATGAGGGCTTTACATCTATAAACAGAAGCAGTCCATGGTGTTTTTTTCTTGCTTCATATTCTCCTTTCCTGATTTCGTTTCCCCTAAGGAATGTCTTTAAGGCGTTTTGGGGACAGGGTTAGAAATCAAAAGCCACTCAGCCACCAGTTACTAAAATGTATTGCTTTAGGTTATGGGTTTTTTGTTTGCTTACTACTAGTGAGGTGTTTTTCTTTAATTCTTTCTTTTTTTTTTTTTTTGCTCCTTTGTGGGGAGGGAAAAATTCTGTGATTCGGTTTTATTTGGTCATGAGTTTATATTCTTCTATACATAATTTCATTTTTAATCTCCTTCTTTTTAGCTCCACATCTGTTTATGGGCAGTTTCTATCTCTCTGCAATCTTGGATGTGACTGACTTCTCTAGTAAATAGGCAAGAACTAGCTTAATACATTTTCAAAAACAGATACCAAAACAACAAAATAACAGGAGGATTAGGTTAATTTCATCCCCGTGTCAATATCAGATAATTTTCTGTAAGGTACATGTGTTAACTGGAAAATGACTAGTTTTTGTCAAACCACTTCGTATTAACGTTTTGGCATCTGACAAATGTTCCAAAACATAAATGAAATGAACGAACACCTTATTCTTGTTTCTAACATTCCTTGTCACTTCTCATCCAAGGGTATTTTTTCCCACTGAGAAGAAAATGCTTGAAATCAAACCAAGATTTGTAGACTATTTACATTTAAAATCACAAATTCAATCATCATTAACACAACAGATATAAGTCTCTTGACTGTTTAAATTAGTGTATGTTTTTCTCAAAGCCATTTTGGAGTACACCATCTTCTTTCTCTTTATCCTGGTAGCCTGATTGCTGGGATATACTGCTCAAGATCTCAAATTTTGAATATTCATTAGGGAAGAATAGAGGGCTTTCAAATCTCACTGCCCTGGAGGCCATTATGACATTATGAATGGGAAGCTCTGAGCTATGCAGTATTTTTCCTTGTATCAAAACATATATTTCAGTGATTCAGAAGGACTTTTGTCGGTCTCTAATGACCACATTTCCAAATAAAAGACTACAAAATACAACTTTGCACAGCTTGGCTATAAATAAAATAAGTGCACTTTTCCCCAGCAACGATAATATAGAGGTAACGTCCTCATCTATGACAAGCCTTGCAGAGCCGACTGAATTGTAGTTGCTGTGGAAACAGTAATTCAGATGGTCTGACTTCTGCAGTTAAAATTGTAGCTCAGAGGTGGCATTAACAATATTTTTGTAGTTATCCCAAGATGAGCATGATCATTAGCCTTTTTACTTTCTCTAGTAACAACATTTAGCCTGTTGCTAATAGAGCAATTTTCTGGCAGGTCTGATGAGCAAAGATGGCCAATTTCATTAATTAGTCTCTTCCTCCAAATGGTGTTTCATGGGAACAATAGAAGTTGAGGTTGGGGTGGAGAATGGCCCAATATTGAGATATCTGCTTCAACTCTCCCTTCCATTTTGCTTATGTAGACAAAACCTTTCTGAGAATTTGACTGTGTACTTCTTTCAGCTTCCTGGAACTCTGGGCATAATTAGCAGACTCTAATCTACATTCGTTTTTAACCTTATCGGTCGACATGTCAAAGGACTTTCATTCCAACTTCCGATCCTCTTGCTTCTTCCTTCTGGAAAGTTCCATGAGTCCCTTCAACCAGACAGCATCCTATTTAGGAGCAATTTTACCGAACCTGCTGAGTCTGGTAACTTCAAAGGGAGAATTTGGCTCACTCAGGCAGTTCAAAACACTGTGAAAGAAAAAGCCAAACGTAGGGGTTTTCAGTAACGACAAATAATCGAGGGGTTTTGCTGAGTTTGTCCATCACATGTGTGCAGGGCTCAGAAAGCCTGGGCAACCTTTGTGGGTGAACATGTGCATCTATCTGCCTGTGAGCATGTGTGTGCAGAGAGGAAAGGGATAATTTTGACAAAGTCAAGTCTGTGCATTCTGTTTGAACTTTATCAGTTATCACACCAGCAACCGGGGTTCTCAGATAGGCTGGTGGAACATCTATTGCCGTGTGGTCTTAGGATGAAGAACAGGGGAATGAATTTCAGAAATCAGTTTAAAACCATCCTTGGGAGCCAGCAGACACTAGTGAAATATGACTTATTTCCATCTAATCCCCTCAGGAAAGACAGCTGGCTCCCTAGGGAAGCCCAGTTGATTTCTGGATACTCATCAAAGCTTTGCATTGTTTCACTGGAAGAACTACAGGCTGCAAAGTCCCATGTGGATGGCAAAATGAACAGGCACAACGGGGGGAAAGGCCACAGGCAATACTTGGAAGATGGCAAAAGCATCCACCCTGGATGCTTGTGCTAAAGGCATTTCCAGATCCTTCTGAAACTGCATCAGCCCTCTTCTTGAGAACCAGACAGCAAAGGGAAGGGGCCCCTCTTCCTCTAAAGATGGAAGAATGGGCATCTGTGTACTCAGTGCAATTTGCAGGCCCTACTGCCAATGCCATCCTCACATACCTCCCCAGTTGGTCTACTGATGCCCTGTTTTTCATAATTAGAGACACTGTGTTTTCAGATTTGTTGTTTAGGGTCCTCTACTCTACCCTAAAGGAAAAGTCCCTAGAGTTTCTGCCAATGAAGAGGTAAAGAAGAACCTGACAGATGAAATTGAGACAAGAAATGAGCCCCAAAAAGAGGTAATAGAATGCTAAAGACAAATTTCACCCATTTCATGATTTTGCTTAAAACAAGACTGAAGATGCTTGATTTTGTAAACATGAACATAAGCACCAACCCCGTTTCTGTATCTTTTCAGAATAAGAAAGATATCTGAGTTGACATATTATGCACCTCGCAGAAGGCTTGAATCAGTGGTTCTGTGTGTCCATCAGAATCAACTGGAGGCTTTCTTAAAACTGATTGTTGAGTCGCATCTCCGGAGTTTCTGATTCGGTAGATTTGGGTTGGCCCGAGAATTCGCATTTCTACAAGTTCTCAGGTGAGGCTGATGCTTCAAGTCTGGACACTGCACTTTCAAAACCACTGGCCTAAATGATACCTCATATATTCTGTCTTTCGTTTCTATTCCATTTTCATTAGCAGATGAATTAACAAAACAGCTCAGAGGCCATCCACTACAAAACTGTTAGCAGCAGCAAATCTGTACAAGTCAGCAGCAACCACACAGTTCTTGCTTCCTCATAAGAAAGAATTCAACCGAGGGGCACAGGCAGAGAGAGACACTGAGGCAAGTTTGAGAGCAGGAGGGAAAGTTTATTAAAAAGTTTAGGCTGGGCGCGGTGGCTCACGCCTGTAATCCCAGCACTTTGGGAGGCCGAGGAGGGCAGATCACAAGGTCAGGAGATCAAGACCATTCTGGCTAATATGGTGAAACCCCATCTCTACTAAAAATACAAAAAATTAGCCGGGCATGGTGGTGGGCGCCTGTAGTCCCAGCTGCTTGGGAGGCTGAGGCAGGAGAACAGCATGAACCCGGGAGGCGGAGAGTGCAGTGAGCTGAGATTGCACCACTGCACTCCAGCCTGGGCGACAGAGCGAGACTCTGTCTCAAAAAAAAAAAAAAGTTTAGAGCAGGAATGAAAGGAGGTAAAGTACACTTGGAAGAGGGCCAAGCGGGTGACTTGAGAGTTTCAAGTGTGTGATCTGCCCTTTGATTTGGGGTTCTACATGTTAGCATTCTTCCTGGGTCTGTATCTCTTCTCCTGATTCTTCCCTCGGGGTGGGCTGTCCATATGCACACCTGCCAGCCCTTGGGAGGGACCACACACAGTGTGTAATTTAAGTTGTGCGCATGCTCGCTTGAGGCATTTTTTTTTTTTCCTTACCAGTAGAGCATTCCTAGAGGAAGGTCATATACCAGTTAAACTCCACCATTTTGCCTCTTAGTGCTCATGCTTGAGTCTCCTTATAAGCTTAGATCTTATCAGGGCCTTATCACTAGTTTCAGGTTTTTCCTATTTATTGGGAGATTGCCGTTCCTTGGTGCCAGCTGAGACCAATTATTATTTTAGCGAGACAGTTAACAACCTCTGGACCATCACTTGATGGTGGCCTGACATTCCTGGAGCGGGGGCTCTCCTGCCCTGCTCATGTCTGACTAACAACCTACTGTAACAAAACCATGCACTCATACCATCCGAAGGGGCTCATTTCGTTCAATCCTTGCATTTTTTTTAAGTGACGGGATGAATGTCTAGAAAAAATAAAGCTCTCTGCCCAAGTGTCAAAGCTGAAGCAAGAATTCCTAAATCCTGATTCTTTCCAAGTTCTCTTTTATTGCCCAGAGAGAGACTTGAAGCATAGAAAACGGAAAAGTTTGGCAAAAGAAAATGAAAACAATGCAGATCATGAGAGCTGGATATAATTGCGTCAAGCCAATGTTCTTTTGAAACATATCAGCAAGACTGACTTCAGAGCTACTACCACTTACCTAATGGAAGAAGACAAGTGAGCAGAGTTAAGCCAGTCATGGGAACTATCACCACCCAAAAGTATTTATAAAGAAGCCACATGAGCACTTTGCCTCTCTGCTGAGCACAGGGCAGCCATGATAATGGGAGATTACAAAAGAAGAGTGAAAGGAAAGAAAACAAGACCCCAGGGTAAAAATGTGCTAATGGTGTTTGGGAGCAGAGGCTGCAGGCCGAGGACAGAATGCCTCATCACATCCCTACTCAGCCAGCGCCTGGACACTTATGTTTTTATAATCACTTCAAGAGCTCTCATTTCTTATAAAAGGCTTGGATGAGTCTAGAATTTTGCCTGGCCTCCAAAGCCCTGTACAACTGGACCCTCATCTTCTAGCGTCACGGCCACGACTCCTCTCCAAGTACCCTCTGCTCCAGTCACGGTGGTCTCCCATGCATCCCAGGGATCTGCTTGAAGGAGCCCTGAGCCGGACGCAGTGGCTCATGCCCGTAATCCCAGTACTTTGGGAAGCTGAGGTGGGTGGATCTCTTCAGCCCAGGAGTTTGAGACCAGCCTGGGCAACATGGTAAAACCCTGTCTCTATAAAAATTAAAAAATTAGCCAGGCATGGTGGCACCTGCCTGTGGTTCCAGCTACTCGGGAGGCTGAGGTGGGAGGCTGAGGTGGGAGGCTGAGGTGGGAGGGTTGCTTGAGCCCAGGAGGCTGAGGCTGCAGTGAGCCGTGATCACGCCATGGCAATCCAGCCTGGGCAAGGAAAAAAAAAAAAAAAAAAGAATAAAAAGAGAAAGAGCCCTGGGACAATAAATATATTTATTTACCCAGAGACAGGTCTCCGCCTCTCCAAAAAAGCAATCAAGACCTGGAGAGGTTAGTGAATTTCCCAAGATTGGTGGACAAATGTAGGATTAGAGTTGGGTCTACTGACCTGAGCCTACTGCCCTCTCCCTAATCCCGTACTAATTACCACTGTGGGTTAACTTTGTGGGAATAGTGTCTTCACTGCTTCCTCAATGACACTCTCCATCCCTAAAGAGCCAAGATTTCCTGTTCCCTTCTTCTGTATCCTCTGCTGAGCCTAGCATGGGGTTTTGCATATAGCAGACAACTTACATGTATTAACCGTTTGATAAGGATTCCGTTCACTGTGGTCAAGGCAACGTGACTGAAAATTAATTACGGGAGCTGACTTTACTGGTGAGGGCTCAAAGAACAACAGATGGGGCATATGACCATCCTCAAAAACAAGACGCAGATGGATTTCATAGGCATTTGTCTTTTCCCGATACACAGTTCCAAGTGATACCAATCATGCAACAAATCAATAATGGAAAGGCAGGAAAAAGGCAGTTCCTTAGTCTACACCATCTAGACCTCAATAGAGAAGTTCTACAAAGTCATCAGTAGTGTTCCATGCCATCATTGGTTTTGTCCTAGTCTGCTCCCTCTAGCATTCTTCCAAGTCTCTACTTCAAAGTCCCACCTCACCTTCAAATCTCAGTTTCCACCCTGCCCATTGCCTGCCACACAACAGGTGCTCAAGATCTGCTGAGCAGATGGAAGAATGAATGGAACAACATGGTGAGGATTTGAACGGAGTATAAATTATTAAAAGTTAAACCCAACCAATGTTGATTTATAAGTAGTTGATGGAGAAACCATAACATCCCTGTATCTTCCCAACTTTTGCTATCAGTCCTGTGAGTTAAAATATGTGGCCCCCTCCTCCACTTTTTTTTAAAACTAGAAAGGACTTATTCAGGCAATGTTATGGAACTTCCATTCCAGTTCATCTCCCCATGAACTGACATATGTAGGGAGACTACGGGTGAGGTGAGGGTGAGTGTGATAAATACTTATGTGAGAGGGGCTCAGAGACAGTTATCTGGGGGAAAGGACAGTGAAACTGTGATATGGGAAGTCACTAAGAAACTCTCTGATAAGTGCGCTGTTTTACTTGGATTGCTTCTGCTTATGAAAAATAGCAAAGTCCTCTAAAGATGCTTATACTAACTACATACGATTTTATTCTTTGTGCTTATTATTGTTATTTTTAGCATATTTATTTGGGGATGGTTGGAGGTGTCATAGAGATGGAGTGGGGCATTAAACCAACATCCAAACTGCCCCCTTTGTGCTGTCATAGCCAAGAATAAAATAAAGAAGTACGGAATGTTTCTTTGCTATGACTTGTTGGGTTCCCATGGCCTTTTTCCTATTTTGCCTGATAAGTTTGGGAAATTACTCTCTTCCCAGTGTGCCATTAGGAAGTGGCACAAAGAAGTAAGCCAGAAGTGCCATCGACAAAGAAACATATACGTCTGCTTGTGCGAAAACTTATTCTGAGGGTAAAATCTGTTTTGTCAGTAACACAGTCTAACGCGAAGAGTTAAGAAATGAGAAATCAGATTGCCTGCTATTTGTGGTTGAATCTGAAATTGCCATGGTGAGACAGAAGGGCCAGCTTTTCTTGGTCTGTGACTGGTCCCATCATTAGTCGGCATTTTAATATCTCATCTGAAATACCTATACCCTGCTAGGGCTTGGCAGGTGCCACTTGCCCTACACACACAGTCAGCACAGATTACGTTGTGATTCTATCGTATCAAGGAGAAAACAGACTGTACAATGATTGGGTTTTTTAGACTTTCAAATAATGTCCTTATGAAATAAACATGCCATGGTATCAGTGGAAGTTACCTTCAAGTAGTGGGATTCTGAATGGTTTTTGTTCTCTTTTTCAAATATGGATTGTCTATTTTTCCTATGTCAAACATTTTTTTTCATTATCAGAAAAAAATCTATTGAAAAGACCTGAGTGAAACAGAAACTTATTACACAATTTTATAATCAAAAAGTATTTTCTGGGCAGGGCGTGGTGGCTCACGCCTGTAATCCCAGCACTTAGGGATGCTGAGGCTGGTGGATCACCTGCGGTCAGGAGTTTGAGAGCAGCCTGGTCAATATGGAGAAACCCCGTCTCTACTAAAAATACAAAAATTAGCTGAGCGTGGTGGCGGGTTCCTGTAATCCCAGCTACTCGAGAGGCTGAGGCAGGAGAATCGCTTGAACCCGGGAGGCGGAAGTTGCAGTGACCAGAGATCACACCACTGCACTCCAGCCTGGGTGACAGAGCGAGACTCTGTCTCAAAAAAAAAAAAAGTATTTTCTGAATACCTACTATGTGCTGAGATGCTAAATTAGATATAAATCAGGGGAAACAAGACAGGAACACAGAATCATTAGTGCATGTGAGTAACAAGTGATAAGGTGTGAACTGTGTGGAGCAGACAGCAAACACCCAACCTGGACAGGAGGTTTGTTGATATGACCCATGGTTGAAAAGGTAAGTTTTCCCATTTGCTCAGCTTGACAAAACACAAGAAACATTTTCACAAAAAAGAAAATGAAAAGGGAAATGTTATTATTATTATTTTTTTTTTTTGGATAGAAGATTTCCTTTCCTCTAAAATCCAGAACGTACCCTGCTTGGTCCTCAGTCATTTGGAACCACTGTCTCCCTTAACACAATTCTCGGGCTCCTCAAGACAAGAGATTTAATAAAGGCTACAACTCAGCCACAGCTGCCTTTCTGAAGTGTCCATGTGTGCACAATAAAACGGAGTCTAAATTTACAGTCTGATGGGAGGAAGGAAGCAGTAATGTCACACTCCACTTACTTAACGAATATGTTGGCAATATTCCATTAAATCGTAAAGACAAGTTAATTTAAAGACTCTGGCCTGCTCAAATACCAACCAAATCACAGTTGATTTCAGGCTCTACCTTAGCCAAAGCACAAATCAAAAGGGCAATAATTTTATATTAGGTAATTGTTAAAAATTAGCATTTTTAATGCCCTTACATTTTACTGATTTTTTTCAATGATTTTACTCTCATTGGCGGAGAAAGGAGGCATGCTTATTGAATAAGGCTAAATAGTTTTGCAATCTGGGAAGGAAAGATGAGTAGGTAGATTGAGAATGTCAGTGTTAGACCACTGGGTACATTTATTTAAAAAATAATTATTCTGGCACTGATAATAAATGAGGTTTATTCTTCATTAATAGGACTGTTGCCCTGGCAACCTCCAGCTCACAAAAGTATTTACATCAGTGCACAGCTCTGACAATAAGAAACAGCTCCAATGTGTCTTTTCTACATCCAGACCTAGAATCTTCTATCATACATTTCAGCTGCATTACTGGTTTCAGTTAAGGTGACCTCAATGCCCCACCAACCCCATCCAAAATATGTCATATCCAACCCCAAAGAGGCAATTTAAACAAATTTCTTGGTACATCAAATAGATCAAAGGCAGAATTGGAGCCGGGCGTGGTGGCTCACGCCTGTATTTCCAGCACTTTGGGGGCCGAGACAGGCGGATCATGAGGTCAGGAGATAGAGACCATCCTGGCTAAAATGGTGAAACCCCGTCTCTACTAAAAATACCAAAAATTTGCCGGCTGTGGTGGTGGGCGCCTGTAGTCCCAGCTACTCGGGAGGCTGAGGCAGGAGAATGGCGTGAACCTGGGAGGCGGAGCTTGCAGTGAGCCGAGATCGTGCCACTGCACTCCAGCCTGGGTGACAGAGCAAGACCCAGTCTTAAAAAAAAAAAAAAGGTAGAACTGATAAATGGTTTTCTTTTGCAAAAAGGATGATTTCTGTGGGTTGTTTTTATTTTCCTGCTTGTTCAGCAGACGGCAAAGTATTTTTAAACAATCAATGTCATGAATATTAATGTGCATTCAAATCATGCACCATTTCCCTAAAACTCTTATTTTCCTAGTTCATAATTATCACCAAATAGCCTAAAGCATTTAAGACACTGTGAGAGTATGAATCAGTACAACATATATGTGGGAGAATAATTTGGCAATAAATATTAGGGACCACTTGCCATTGGCCAGGAATTTCTAATTGTAGGAATTTTCCTTGAGAAAATAATTATATAACTATAAAATAATTGGCCGGGCATGGTGGCTCATGCTTGTAATCCCAACACTTTGGGAGGCCGAGGTGGGTGGATCACCTGAGGTCAGGAGTTTCAGACCAGCCTGGTCAACATGGCGAAACCCCGCCTCTACTAAAAAATACAAAAAATTAGCCAAGCATGGTGGTGGGCACCTGTAATCCCAGCTAGCTGGGAGGCTGAGGCACGAGAATCACTTGAACCCAAGAGGCGGAGGTTGCAGTGAGCTGAGATGGCACCATTGCACTCCAGCCTGGGCAACAAGAATGAAACTGTGTCTCAAAAAAAAAATAATAATAATAAAATAATTGCACAAGGCTTTTAACTGCAATTTGGTTTACAATAGGGTCAAAACTGAAAACAAGTCAAATGACACTAATTTTTTAAATGATTATAAATACTACTAGATAACCATCCTTGCAGGGATAGGACCAGGGTAGAGCTAGCAAGGAGCCCATGGTATGGAATTTAAGAGGTGCTCTCTCTTTAGGTCACACCCTGCAATGTTCACTTGTGTCACCTTAGTCCAAGCCCTAAATTCTCATACATACATTACTTCATCTACATATAATTTTGATTGTTTGAATCAATTACGGTGTAACACGTGAAGAAATACTATACAGTCATTAAAAATGATGACGTAGGCCGGGCGCTGTGGCTCACGCCTGTAATCCCAACACTTTGGGAGCCCAAGGCGGGTGGATCACTTGAGGTCAGGAGTTCGAGACCAGCCTGGCCAACATAGTGAAACCCTGTCTTTACTAAACATACAAAAATTAGCCTGGCGTGGTGGTGGGTGTCTGTAATCCCAGGTCCTCGGAAGGCTGAGGCAGGAGAATCTCTTGAACCTGGGAAACGGAGGTTGCAGTGAGCTGAGATCGCACCCCTGCAGTCCAGCCTGGGCAACAGAGTGACTTTGTCTCAAAAAAAAAAAAAGATAATGTAGACTTCAACTCATTGACATGGAAAGAGACCCAGAAGACATGGTCTAAGTTAAATAAGCAGGTTACAGAAACAGTATGTGCAGAAAAGTCTGCAAAATCTATAATGTAAGACCAATCATTGTAACTTAAAAAGCCCAACACTGAACTCTTCTAAATAATTTATTATTGCAATTTATATTTTAAAAGATCAAAGACTGGAAAGAATTTAAAACAGTATGGGAATAGGAAAAGAAAGAAAACACCATTGCATGTTCAAATCCATTTGCTTTTCTGACAGGCATGAATATTGTTAGAAGTTTATATTCTGAACAAAACCATTCTCCTGAATAAACTGCATTTTCAAATTCAATCACTGTATAGCCACAAACCACTTGGCAGATTGGCTCCTCTCCAAATTCTCTAACTTGTTTTTCTATCACTTAAGGAATCTGAAGCACTTTATCAACATATTTAAGCCAAATCTTTTGACTTAGAGAACCAGCAAATCCTTCATGGTTGATGAATCTTGGGTTTTCACAAATAAAGGACACTTGGCTACTAAGGCCGCTCAGAAAAATCAGAGACAACAAGGTACTCCTTATATTAGAATCCACTGTGACACTAAGCATTACGGCATTATCCTTTCATTTTGTGTTATTTAAGTCATATTCTTATCCAAGCTTTCATGCATGTATACATGCCTTGTGGCGCCACATAGAAGATATATTCCAGAGGACTAAGCCAGTAGGTGCCTATATAGAAGGGCCTTTGTTACAACAGAAGCTCAGTAATTACTGCTTAATAATGAAGGACTGAAATTACTGTAAAGCAGTGTGATGTAGTAGAGAAACCACAAGCATGAACTTCAGATAGGCCTGGGATCGAATTCAACTCTACCCCTTACTACACACATAGCCATTCCCAACTTACCCAACCTTTCTGAGGCATGGTTTCATTACCTCGAAAGATACATTAAAAACTCTTGGCCAGGTGTGGTAGCTCAAGCCTGTAATCCCAGCACTTTGGGAGGCTAAGGCAGGTGGATCACCTGAGGTCAGAAGTTCAAGACCAGCCTGGCCAACATGGTGAAACCCAGTCTCTTCAAAAATACAAAAGTTAGCCAGGCATGATGGCGAGTGCCTGTAATCCCAGCTACGCCGGAGGCTGGGGCAGGACAATTGCTTGAACCCAGGTGGTGGAGGTTGCAGTGAGCCAAGATCACGCCACTGCACTCCAGCCTGAGCGACAGAGCAAGACTCCGTCTCAGAAAAACAAAGTTCTCCTAATGATTAAGGAAGTAATGTTTGTTGATAGCTGTGCCCAGGGCCTGATACCTAGCAGACCCTCCACAAATACTAGTTTTCCTTCCCCTTTTAAAAAATTGCCTCTCTTACTAATATGGAAAACGAAAATAAGGCAAGAAAAGAAAGTTAATCTCTAGTGACTGTAAAATTTAGCTAAGGGCCAGTCACGATGGCTCAAATCTCTAATGCCAGTATTTTGGGAGGCCATGGTGGGAGGACTGCTTGAGACCAGGAGTTCAATACCAGTATGGGAAACATAGTGAGATCCCCCTGTCTCTACAAACTTTTTTTTTTTTTTTTTTAATTAGCTGCCTGTGGTCGCAGTTACTTGGGAGACTGAGGTGGGAGGATCTCTTGAGCCCAGGAGTTTGAGGCTGCAGTGAACTATGATCATGCCACCACACTCCAGCCTGGGTGACAGAGGGAGACTCTGCCTCTTAAATTAAAAAGCTAAGAACCAGATTTGGTCATTCATGAACCAGGTCCACCCAATATTAACTCACCTGCATTGAGAACTCACTATGACCGCTCAACCATGAAAGGTGCTTGCTAAACACTGGTTCCTCATTCCCCGTGGATTCCCAGGCAGCTGGGACCCCTGACCACTAGGGTGCCCTGCAGCCAAGCTGTGCAGGATTGGTCACACCAGCTGATGCCCACATTTTCTCTTTACTTTGTTTTTTGCTGCTAGATGAACTGCCTTTCAGGCAGTATCTTGATTCCAAGCATTTTTATTCTAGCACCAAATATTCCTTTTCCCCTCTTCTGATGATAACAGCAACACATGCTTGTTGTAAAAAGTTCAAAAGACATGGATGTTTAAACTGTAAAAACACTCAATAATCCCACCCCACAAGGGTGACCACCGTCAGTAATTCAATGAATATCCCTCCAGAATTTATTTTTAACAAGACAAATCTCTCTTAAGTGCATATGCCACCTCCCTACTCTTCTTTCTTTCAATTCCTACTCGGTTATCCTCAGAAAATCTCTTTTCCTGTCTTTTTGTCCCACTCGTGAATTCCAAGGTAACCCCAATAATGGTTGCTAAGCACCAAAGCAGCATAACTATATACTCATATAAAGAAAAAAGAAAAATCTTGTTTGGTATCTAAAGTAGAAAGGAATCAGACCCAAAGTCAGCTGAAAATACACATAGAAATCCCTATTTATGTCTTTGACTTTCTCTAATTAAACTCACATTCCCCTAGGTGTCAGCATTCATAACAGATGACTATTTTTCATTTCATGTTATTGTTTTCTTGTCTCATTTAACTAAAAGCATGGTAAAATAAATGTTTTAGTATTTTGCATTATGTAAGTACTGCTCAGTAACCTATAGGGAAGGTTTTTCTTCATAATGTCTCATCTATCACAGACTGATACCTTTGTAAAATAAGTAAAAATGCAGTACTAGAAAAATGAAATTAAAAAAACTGAAATACGAAGTATAGTACAAGTCTAAGTTATTTCAATTACTAGATTTAGCAGACAATTCCTCTGTTGCACTGCTATACAAGTTTTCAAAGTGTAACGCATAATTTCTGTACTTATCTCATGGTACAAACCGTTAGTGAATAGTTTTCGAGCTGCAGCCTCTGTGCACAGCACGTGCGGCGGTGCTGTTCGATATCTTTCCATGGGAGCCCAACCACCCATGGTCTATGGGAAATGTCTATGGGAGAATGTCTTCCAAGTTTCTAAGAAATAATTTACAAATGAGCTTTGGGGAGAGGGGATCTCACTGAGAAGTTTGGGACTGCCTGTATTTGTATATATTGAGATAATCAACTGAATTTTTCACTTTCCATCCAGATGTTTACAATGATATAAATACGGTCAAAGACTCTTGAAACCAGGGAGATTTGATTATTAGAAATACACAGTAAAGTCCCCACCAAAAGTTTAATTTCCCAACTTACCCTTTCAGACTCCAAAGTCATTTCTTGCCCGATCGCTATCATTTTGAAAACAATTGAGGGGGAAGCAACATGCCACAACCCAATCCAAACTGGAAAACCAAACGAAATTCTATTTCTTAACCTGACCTTCAGTTTAAAATATTTATAGAGGCCAGGCGTGGTGGCTCACGCCTACAATCCAAGCACTTTCGGAGGCCGAGATGGGTGGATCACCTGAGGTCAGGAGTTCAAGACCAGCCTGGCCAACGTGGTGAAACCCCCTCTCTACTAAAAATACAAAAACTAGCTGGGTGTGGTGGCACATGCCTGTAATCTCAGCTACTTAGGAGGCTGAGGCAGGAGAATTGCTTGAACCTGGGAGGTGGAGGTTGCAGTGAGCTGAGATTGTGCCACTGCACTCCAGCCTGGGTGGCGGAGTAAGGCTCTGTCTCCAAATAGATAAATAATAAGATAAAATACTTACAGTAAGGTTCACATAAATATCTTGTCTCAGGTGGAGCTAAAGGTGTTTCTATTGTCAGTGATTATAAGTCAATATATTGGTGAATTTTCAGGTTACTTATGTATCTTAGTCTCACTTTCTTATATTGCCTCAGAGCCCCAGTCTTTCAATGGCTCACTTTCCTCAACTACAAAAGAGCAACGAGAATGAAGGGAATGAGGCGGGTACTGGATAAACTGTCACAGCTGTGATAAAATCAGGACTCGTGTTGTGTGTGTGTGTGTGTGTGTGTGTGTGTGTGTGTGTGTGGAGAGAGAGAAACAAAAATCTACAGAGACATGGCAATCTAATAGTCTACGTATTTTTCCCCTTCTTTTCACAGGTGTTGATAATAGTCTATGTTTCTCAATATTTCACTTGCTAATTTCATGACTTAAAACCTGGGCCATGATGACTTTTTTTTTTTTTTTTTTTGAGACAGAGTCTTGCTCTGTCGCCAGGCTGGAGTGCAGTGGCGCGATCTCGGCTCACTGCAACCTCTGCCTTCCGGAATCAAGCGATTCTCCTGCCCCAGCCTCTCGAGTAGCTGGGTCTACAGGTCCTAGCATGCCACCACACCCAGTTAATTTTTGTATTTTTAGTAGAAACCAAGTTTCACCATGTTGGCCAGGATGGTCTCTATCTCTTGACCTCGTGATCTGCCTGCCTCGGCCTCCCAAAATGCTGGGATTACAGGCGTGAGCCACCACGCCTAGCTGATGATTTGTTTTTTAACTACTGGTCTAGGTTTGGCTTGATTCAAGCTGTCCGCCACAGTAAATTCATCTGTCCATTGATTCCATTCTTCCTTAATAATTTGATTCATCCATTTAAATACTTGTTTTCACTTATGTATTTAGAAAACACTTACTAGCTATTATGGGCACAGTGCTAGACAGAGACAGGGCTGGAAGAAAAGAGCATAATTCTGGAACCTTGTAATAAACCCCAACTCTCAACAGGTGGGCCCAAAGTTATAAATCATGCTACTTTACCTGTATATGAATTTGTTTTAACTAAAGCAATTGAAAGTCAAGTATCAGCATTCCAAGTACCTCACTATTTAAAATATTTTTTTAAAAGGGTTTTCTAAAAGGGAAAGGATTTGTATTGCAAACACATGTGAGTTCTCTTTTACATCACTAAAACATCTTATATTTGATACATGAAAAAGACTTGGTGTGTAATATGTTATAACATATGTGTGTGTATGTAAAATCTGGCATGTTTTAAAACTAACAGTGTTAAACCACAATGTAAAGACAACCAGAAAAGGAAAAAAATACTGAAGGTTGGAAAACATATTTTGTACTTGCTTTATGCATAGTAATATAATAAATCTGCAAACACATTCCCTAGAATCAGAGTGATGCTTCAGCCAGTGTGCCCATACATTTGACTGAGACTGTTTTTTCTTACATGTAGCCAATACAATATCATGAGGAATTCATAGATGAGTGGAGGGAGTGCACGTGCGCACGTGTGTGTGTGTGTGTGTGTCTGTGTGTTTTGTGGGAATGGGTGCATGAATAGAAATAACAAGATAAGCTAAACGAAATCAGTATGTAAAGAGGTCATTCCTTTTGTACAAAAGTATTGCTGAAGCAGCCTCCAGGCAAACAACAGAGTTATCTCGAAGTCTAGATAGAAAACAACAACAAATTTCCAATTATGGGCACAGTTTTAGAAAGACGGCAAGTAGGGAAAAGAGGCGTCAAGGCAAGAGGCAAGACAAAGAACATATATTCTGCAGTATTCAGTAACATGATTAATTCAGGACATTGGAAACAATCCTCTAAAAGCATATTTTTTTCTTCTTTTTTTAGGACAGAGCCTCCTCTGTCACCCAGGCTGGAGTGCAATACCGTGATAGTGGCCCACTGCAGCCTAGAACTCCTGGGCTAAAATGATCCTCCCGCTTCAGTCTCCCGAGAAGCCAGGGCTACAGGTGCGTGCCACCATGCTCAGCTAATGAAAGGGTATTTTTGAGGAGAAAATGTTAGGAAGAAAGTTGCTGGTTACTCTCAAGAGTTTTATTTTTTTAATAGTGATGGGGCCAGCCGGGGCCAGTGGCTCATGCCTGTAATCCCAGCACTTTGGGAGGTCGAGGCGGTGGATTACTTGAGGTCAGGAGTTTGAGACCAGCCTGGTCAACATGGTGAAACTCCATCTCTACTAAACGCAGAAAAATTAGCCTGGCATGGTGGCGCACATCTGTAGTTCCAGCTACTCGGGAGGCTGAGGCACGAGGATCGCTTGAACCCAGGAGGAAGAGGTTGCAGTAAGCCAAGATGCTGCCACTGCACTCCAGCCTGGGTGAAAGAGTGATATTCTGTCTCAAAAAAAAAAAATAGTGATGGGGTCTCACTATATTGCTTAGGCTGGTCTTGAACTCCTGGCCTCAAGCAATTCCCCCCACTTGGCCTCTAAAAATGCTGGGATTACAGGCCTGAACCACCACACCCAGCCAGCTCTCAGGAACTTCTGGCATGGACTGAGCTGTAGATACATGCCATGCATTTCCACAGAGGAATATCATGCATGTGAGACTCAATCAGTTTTTTCCCAGATGCAAGTGAAGAGGTACCCAAGGGTAATGTGATTCACCCCAAGCACAGCAGCCCTGGGCATGCTCACAAATTCACCCCTGCACATGTTGTCTGTTCCGTTTTGCTTATGTCAGCGAACACAGAACAGAAAGGAAGAATCAGGGCAGGTGCTCCACAGGTTTCCTGGCGGCGAACATCATCATGTGCAGATTCAAAGACCCAGAGAATTAAGAACCCCATCCACAGCTGCACACTAAGTTCATGGTCAACTTGGAGGTGAAACCCAGGTTTCCTTCCCCTAGTGCAATATTCCAATCATTATATCATGAGCTCTAAGGAGTAGAGGAATCTCTTTCAGATTCAGCAACTCCAGTGAGGATTCAGCTTTGCCTGACTTACTCGACCAAAGAATTTAATTGCCCCTAAAGTATCAACTACTGAAAACAGGCCAGGAAAGGCTAATGTCATTGTGGAGGTTCTTCCTCTTCCTGCTTAATTTGTTTGTACAGGCAATAACGAGTTATGCAAAGAAGTGAACGCAACAAGAGTTCATTACAATTCCTACATGTTATTGTTGCTGTTTTTTTTTTAATTTTAAATTTGAAAAGTGTAGGTTACGTACATAACAGAAAAAAATGCATTTTAAAGTTAATTTGAACTTTTGTTTTCAACAGTTACACATTTCAAATCTGTTGGCCGTAGTTTAACTATGAATCTATGATAGGAAATGTATATTTTTAAGGCCAGGCACCGTGGCTCGCTCCTGTAATCCCAACACTTTGGGAGGCCAAGGTGGGAGGATTGCTTGAGCCTAGGAGTTCAAGACCAGCCTGAGCAACATGGTGAAACGCTGTCTCTACTAAAAATATGAAAAATTAGCTGAGCGTGGTGGTGTGCACCTGTAGTCCCAGCTATTCAGGAGGCTGAGGTGGGAGAATCACCTGACCCCAGGAAGTTGAGGCTGCAGTGAGCCTTGATCTTGCTACTGCACTCCAGCCTGGGCGAAAGGAGTGAGACCCTGTCTCAAAGTAAAAACGACAATTTTGTTTTCATTTGGACAGAGGATCTGAAATAAGCCTATGTACTGTGTACATACAATGGTCTTAAGATTTAAAAAGTATTTTAAAATGCACTTGATATTTAATAATATATTAATAATAAAGCTTGAAAGTACATAAGGATTTTTCAAAGGCAGCATGTTTTCCTTGAACAAATTAGTTTACATAACTCAGAAAATTTCGTATTTCTCTTTGCCACTGTGAAATTCCTTAAACATCTTGAAAGAAACATGAGATAAAGTTTAGAATGGTCACTTCGATATAACTAAATAGCCTCCTAAAATATAAGAATGACTCAATATGAAGAAATACTAATATATTAATGTAATTTATTAAAAGATCTAAGAAGAAAAGTTATATTTTTAGCATCTATAGATGCTGAAAAAGACCTTTGAAAAAAATTCAACAATCTTCTTGCTTAAAAATGGGAGACACCATGGAATACTATGCAGCCATAAAAAAGGATGAGTTCATGTCCTTTGTAGCGACACGGATGAAGCTGGAAACCATCATTCTGAGCAAACTATTGCAAGGACAGAAAACTAAACATTGCATGTTCTCACTCATAGGTGGGAACTGAACAAAGAGAACACTTGGACACAGGGCGGGGAACATCACACACTAGGGCCTGTCATGGGGTGGGGGGATGTGGGAGGGATAGCATTAGGAGAAATACGTAATATAAATGACGAGTTAATGGGTGCAGCAAACCAACACGGCACATGAGTACATATGTAACAAACCTGCATGTTGTGCACATGTACCCTAGAACTTAAAGTATAATAAAAAAATGGGAGATACAGAATTGAACATTAAAATGACCACACACACACACACACACACACACACACACCACACACAGTTTGTTTTCAGCCCAAAACAAGCATCATACTTAATGGGCTGACATTCCTGCTAAAAGATAAGCCTCTGTCAACATTTTTAAAATACTGTCTTAAAGGTAATAGTAAATAAAAAGACATGAAAGGTATAAAAAGGAAGAGGTCAGTAATTACTACTTGCAAATAACTATATACTGAAAAAGTGCTGAATAATCAACTGAAAAGCTCCAATAAACAACAACAAAAGTGAACTTCAGAAAGGTAGCCAGACACAAATTAACACACAGAAATCAGCAGCTTTCACATATACGAACAACCAATTCAAAAATACACAGACAAAATTAGCCCATTTACTAAAAATAACAGCCCCTGTCCTCCAAAATAAACTCAAGAATCATGCCAAAACTCTGCAGAAAAACTTAATCCTACTCCTGAAGGATACAAAAGTGGACTTGAATCAATGGAGAGACATATCCTGATTTTGGAGAGGAAGACTCAACATCACACACATGTGAACATTTTAATACTAACTTATAATTTTAACCGATTCCAATAAAAACTCCAACATTTTTCTTCTGGAAACAGACAAGCTGATTTTAAATAAAAAAGCAAAGACAAGCAAGACCATCCAGGAGAACTCTGGATAGGAAGACCTATGGGGGGAATTAACTCTATTACACATGAAACATACTCTGAATCAGGGGTCCCCAACCCCCAGGACACACAGACTGGTACTGGTCCATGGCCTGTTAGGAAGTGGGGTGCACAGCAGGAGGTGAGCAGTGAGCAAGCCAGCAAGCAAGTGACTGGAGCTTCGTCTATATTTATAGCCACTCCCCATCGCTTGCATTACCGCCCGAGCTCCACCACCTGTGAGATCAGCAATGGCATTAGATTCTCATAGGAGCATGAACCCTATTGTGAACACTGCACGCGAGGGATCTAGGTTGTGTGCTCCTTACGAGAATATAATGCCTGATGATCTGTCACTGTCTCCCATTACCCCTAAATGGGACCGTCTAGTTGCAGGAAAATAAGCTCAGGGCTCTCACTGATTCTATCTTCTGATGAGTATATAATAACAATAGAAATAAAGTGCAATCCCTCTCCCCGGTCCACAGAAAAACTGTTTTCCAGGAAATCGGTCCCTGGTGCCAAAAAGGTTGACTACTGCTGCTCTAAATCCTCAGTGACTAAAGCAGTTGGAACTGAGACATGAACAGCACAATGGAATGAACAGAAAGTCCAAAAACAGACCTGAAGATATACAGGTGTTTAGCATGTGATAAAGGCAGCATTTCGATCCATGGGGGAAATGGACTGATTAATGATAGTGATGGGAACTGCAGGAACCTATCTGGAAAAAAAAAAAACAGTTGGATCCATGCCTTAACGTCATTCACCAAGATAAACTCAAATGTGGATCAAATTTATGTGTCAAAAATAAAGCCATGAAAGTGTTAGAAGAAAAAGCCTTTTTTTTCTCTCTCTCTTTTTTCTCTCTCTCTTTATTTTTTTAAGACAGAGTCTCGCTCTGTAGCCCAGGCTGGAGTGCAATGGCACAATCTTGATTCATTGCAACCTCCGGCTCCTGGGTTCAAGCGATTCTCCTGCCCCAGCCTCCCAAGTAGCTGGGATTACAGGTGTGCACTACCACGCCCGGCTAATTTTTGTGTTTTTAGTAGAGACGGGGTTTCACCATGTTGGTCAGGCTGGTCTTGAACTCCTGACATCGTCATCTGCCCACCTTGGCCTCCCAAAGTGCTGGGATTATAGGCGTGAGCCACCGCGCCCGGCAGAAAAAGCCTTTTAAATGACAACTCACATTCTAGAAGCCATAAAAAAAAAAGATATGTTTATAATAAATTCTACTACATAAAAAAACTTCTGGGCCGGGTGCGGTGGCTCACACCTATAATCCCAGCACTTTGGGAGGCCGAGGTGGGCGGATCACAAGGTCAGGAGATTGAGACCATCCTGGCTAACACTGTGAAACCCCGTCTCTACTAAAAATACAAAAAAATTAGCTGGACGTGGTTGTGGGCGCCTGTAGTCCCAGCTACTCAGGAGGCTGAGACAGGAGAATGGCATGAACCTGAGAGGCAGAGCTTGCAGTGAGCCAGGATCGTGCCACTGCACTCCAGCCTGGGCAACAGACAAAGATTCCGTCTCAAAAAAAAAAAAAAAAAAAAAAACACTTCTGGATGGTCAAACAAGCAAACAAAAAAACCAACATAAGCAATTCTTTTTTTGTTTGTTTTTCGAGATGGAATCTCGTTCTTTCGCCCAGGTTGGAGTGCAGTGGCACGATCTCGGCCCACTGCAACCTCCACCTCCTGGGTTGGGGCAATTCTCCTGCCTCAGCCTCCCGAGTAGCTGGGATTACAGGCACCCACCTCCACGCCCAGCTAATTTTTGTATTTTTAGTAGAGACGGGGTTTCACCATGTTGGCCAAGCTGGTCTTGAACTCCTGACCTTGTGATCCGCCCACCTTGGCCTCCCAAAGCACTGGGATTACAGGCCTGAGCCACCACGCCTGGCCAGCAATGTTATAATCTAGTCATAATGCCATAGTGACAATGGGGAAAAATATTTGTATCTCTCACCACAGACAGAGGCTAATATCCCCAACATGTAAAGTTCTCTACAAATCAATAATAAACCAATGACTTTCTTGCTCCCGCCTATGGACTAAAGAAATGCATAAACAACTCACAGCAAAAGTGATATGTGACCCTTTTTTCTTTGAGACGGAGTCGTGCTCTGTTGCCCAGGTTGGACCGAGTGCAGTGGCGTGATCTCTGTTCACTGCAAACTCCACCTCCCAGATTCAAGCTATTCTCCTGCCTCAGCCTCCTGAGTAGCTGGGATTACAGGCATGTGCCACCATGCCCAGCTAATTTTTGTATTTTTAGTAGAGACAGGGTTTCACCGTGTTGGCCAGACTGGTCTTGATCTTTTGACCTCATGATCCTCCCGCCTCAGCCTCCCAAAGTGCTGAGATTACAGGCATGAGCCACCACGCCCAGCCTGTGACCCTTAAACATATGAAAAAGTGCTCAACCTCACTCATCATAAGAAAAATACAAATTGAAAACGACACAGAAATACTGTTTGTCACCCATCAGATTGGCAAAACTCCACTGACATCCCCCTCTGTAGGTGAGTTTGGGGAAACAGACACACTCATCCATTGCTGATGAAAGTATAACAGGCATATCCCCATGGAAGGCAATTTACAACAGATCTCAAAAGCACAATGCCCTTCCCTTCACCCAGCATCCCGCCTATCCCTGTTCTGCTGCTCTAGACCCACTCTCTACCCTGCTGCACCCTGCTCTGTGCTCCAGGCCAACCACTAGACCAGTGGTCCCCAACCTTTTTGGCACCAAGGGTCAATTTCATGGAAGACAATTTTTCCACAGACAGAGCAGGAGGATGGTTTGGGGATGACTCAAGTGCATTACACTTATTGTGCACTTTATTTCTATTATTATATTGTAATATATAATGAAATAATTATACAACTCACCACAATGTAGAATCTGTGGGAGCCCTGAGCTTATTTTCCTGTAACTAGACAGTCCCATCTGGGGGTGATGGGAGACAGTGACAGATCATAAGGCATTAGATTCTCATAAGGAGCACAAAACCTAGATCCCTCGAATGCGCAGTTCACCATAGGGTTTATGCTCCTCTGAGAATCTAATGCCGCCACTGATCTGACAGAAGGCAGAGCTCAGGTAGTAATGCAAGGGATGGGGAGTGGCTCTAAGTACAGATGAAGCTTTGGCCGCTCACCTGCCTGCCACTCACCTCCTGCTCTGCAGCCTGGTTCCTAACAGGGATGGGGACCCCTGACATAGATGGCATCAGCATCCACAGGCTCCTTGGCTCCTGGATTCTCACTGGGTTCAGTCAGTGGAAGGCTTGAGAGGAGACTGGAGCAAGGGAGACAAGCAGAAGGTGGCCTTTATTCCCCTGGTTCTTCCTGCTGGTCTCCATTGCATGGCCGTGTCTCTCTGCGGAAGGTTCTGATACCCGCCTCCCTCTCTCTTCCTCTCCAAACCTTGGGGTAGCAGTGATTCCTGTGATTGGCAGTCCTGGGTACTTTATGATTTCTTGTTTCCTGACTGCCTGCTCACAGCTTTCGAAATAGTCCCTTTATTAAACTCTCCTCAAATTCCCTTGTTTGGGCCAGGCGCGGTGGCTCATGCTTATAATCCCAGCACTTTGGGAGGCCAAGGCGGGTGGACCACTTGAAGTCAGGAGTTCAAGACCAGCCTGGCCAACATGGTAAAACCTTGTCTCTACTAAAAACACAAAAGAAAAAACAAATTAGCTGGAAGGGTGGCACGCACCTATAATCCCAGTTATTTGGGAGGCTGAGGCAGGAGAATCACTTGAACCTAGGAGGCAGAGGTTGCAGTGACCGAAATCGCATGACTGTGCTCCAGCCTGGGTGACAGAGTGAGACTCTATCAAGAAAGGAAGGAAGGAAGGAGGGAAGGAAGGAAGGAAGGAAGGAAGGAAGGAAGGAAAGAAAGAAAGAAAGAAAGATTCCTTAGTTTAACCATGCCAAGATTAAGAGTTTAGTCATCTTAACCTTAGAGACTCACAGGATCTATCCATGAGTATCCTTCCAGGACCCTGACTGATACACCCTGGAATCCCATTTTGGAGAATTTATCCTCAGATATACTTGTATATATAGAAAATACATGCTTATGCACTGTAACAAAAGATTAGAAACAACCCAATGTCCAGCAACAGGGATCTGGTCAAATAAACTGTGATAAACTACACAGAGGAGTATTTTGAAGCCGTAAAAAACAGTGAAGAAGCTCTAGATGGACTGACAGAAAAGATCTCTAGAATATATTGTTTTTTTTTTGTTTTTTTTTTTTTTTATCCGTAAACTTCTTTTTTTTTTTTTTTTTTTTTTTATTATACTCTAAGTTTTAGGGTACATGTGCACATTGTGCAGGTTAGTTACATATGTATACATGTGCCATGCTGGTGCGCTGCACCCACTAATGTGACATCTAGCATTAGGTATATCTCCCAATGCTATCCCTCCCCCCTCCCCCGACCCCACCACAGTCCCCAGAGTGTGATATTCCCCTTCCTGTGTCCATGTGATCTCATTGTTCAATTCCCACCTATGAGTGAGAATATGCGGTGTTTGGTTTTTTGTTCTTGCGATAGTTTACTGAGAATGATGGTTTCCAATTTCATCCATGTCCCTACAAAGGATATGAACTCATCATTTTTTATGGCTGCATAGTATTCCATGGTGTATATGTGCCACATTTTCTTAATCCAGTCTATCATTGTTGGACATTTGGGTTGGTTCCAAGTCTTTGCTATTGTGAATAGTGCCGCAATAAACATACGTGTGCATGTGTCTTTATAGCAGCATGATTTATACTCATTTGGATATATACCCAGTAATGGGATGGCTGGGTCAAATGGTATTTCTAGTTCTAGATCCCTGAGGAATCGCCACACTGACTTCCACAATGGTTGAACTAGTTTACAGTCCCACCAACAGTGTAAAAGTGTTCCTATTTCTCCGCATCCTCTCCAGCACCTGTTGTTTCCTGACTTTTTAATGATAGCCATTCTAACTGGTGTGAGATGATATCTCATAGTGGTTTTGATTTGCATTTCTCTGATGGCCAGTGATGATGAGCATTTCTTCATGTGTTTTTTGGCTGCATAAATGTCTTCTTTTGAGAAGTGTCTGTTCATGTCCTTCGCCCACTTTTTGATGGGGTTGTTTGTTTTTTTCTTGTAAATTTGTTTGAGTTCATTGTAGATTCTGGATATATTGTTAAGTGAAGAAAACAAGGTGTGAAGCAGTGTACATAATGAAGTGACCGTTTAGTAATAAAAGGAAAATAAGAATAAATGTATTTTCAAAAACAAACACTGGAAGGATACATAAGAAACTTAAAAAGTCATCACCTTCAGGGGTATGGAGGGAAATGGGATGAACACGTACATTAGTACACGTTACTACACAAAGTACACGTGGTGCTTTTCCTGGCTTCAATTTTTTAACCCATGCAAACATTTACTCAAAAAATTAAATCAGGCCAGGTGCAGTGGCTCACGCCTGTAATCCCAGCACTTTGGGAGGCCGAGGCAGGTGGATCACTTGAGGTCAGGAATTCGAGACCAGCCTGGCCAACAGAGTGAAACCCCGTCTCTACTAAAAACACAAAAATTAGCCGGGCTTGGTGGTGCGGGTCTATAGTCCCAGCTACTCAGGAGGCTAAGGCAGGCCAATTGCTTGAACCTGGGAGGCGGAGGTTGCAGTGATCTGAGATTGCACCACTGCACTCCAGCCTAGGCAACAGAGTGAGACTCTGTCTCAAAAAAAAAAAGAAAGAAAAAAAGAGAAAAAAAAAGAAAAGAAATTAAATTACTAAAAAAGCAGAAAGAAAAACATTGAAGCAAGAGTTTGGCAGAAAGCATATTTGCTGTCCAGGAAAAAGAAAAAGGGCAGGTATCATCTTATCATCTTAACCTTAGAGACTCATGGAATCTGACTCGTTGTTTCAGCAAGGTATCTTGGTGATTTTTTTCATTGGTAGAGTAAATGGGCAATCCTGTGGTTGGTCAGGCCTGGTGGCCCTTCGAAGTCTGGTTTTGATTCCAAGTCCAGTTTCTTACTGGCCGGTCCCCAAAGCTCTAAGTGTGTTTGTGAAATTAGGATGTTTAGTGAGATAGATGAGGATTGTATGCTCTAGAAACAAACTTTAAGTAAAAAAGGAGTCACAGGGATGTCCAATGAAGGCCTGAGATTTAGCAGGAGATGGGCTGTGAATCAAAGCATGTTTGGTAGCAAACTATGTGTTCTACGCTGAGAATAAAACTTCTCCACGTTCTTGGGAAGACACGGTAACAGAGGCTGATCTATCTGTGACTTTTCTGAATTCTGCAAATTTGGTGCCAACAGCATAGTAATGATCAGGCCGAGCCCACGCCAGTGCAAAGGCGCAGAAATGAAGACCTAGAGGGACAGAGTTCTGTCCTGGAGGCAGCATTCTCCTGGTCACTAAGAGGCACAGTAGCCTTCCACCCTCTCCTCTGCCCTGGGCCTAAGCCTGGTCATGGAGACCTATCCTCCTCTTCTAGAAAGAGGGAGTGAGGAAGGAGGCAGGTCAGTGCGGTCTTGCTTCTCACCAGTCAGCCAATTACCACAAGGGTGGTGGGAGACACAGCTGCCATGACAACTTGTAGGACCTGAAAGCACAGAAACGTGGAGGCCTACAGTCCTTTTAGACGAAGGAGTCAGATGTTTGTCTATACCACAAGGAGAGAGCAAGAAGAGAAGATGTTTTATCTTCGGTGTTCTGTAAATCCTTTTTCTGACATGGTTCCTTCTGTTTGCTTCTCATGGTGTTTTCCCTGGCATGGCTGAAGATGCTTTTTACAATGGTGATGAGGCCATCCTACTGCAGGTTAAAGTAGGTGCCTGCCAAGGTGACAGACAGAGACTCTGGAGACTAGATTCCTGGCTCTGCCACTGCATTGCTGAGATCTTTAACACACCACGCACATCACCTAGCCTCTCTAATTTGCAGTTTCCTTCTCTGTAGAAGATAGAAAGACAGATAGATGGACGGATGGAAGGGAGAGAGGGAGGGAGGGGGGAGAGAGGGAGGGAGGGAGGGAGGAAAAAGAAGGGAAGGAAGGAAGTAAAAGAAAATAAAAGCAAAGGAAAGGGAGACGGAAGGAAGGGAGGAAGACAAAAAGAGGGAAAAAACAAAAGGAGAGAAGGAAGTAGGGAAGGAAAGAAGGATGAAAATAAATGGAAAGAAAGGAAAAGAAAGAAAAGAGGGAGAAGAAAGGAAGGGAAGAAAGAAGCAAGAAAAAGAAGAAAAGCAAGCAAGCAAGGGGGTGGAGGGGTGGATAACTGGAATAGATGACTTTTAAATGCTTCCTTCTCTAAAAATTCTGGCTATCATTAATGGCTAAGCCAGTAAGAAAGAAGATGCCCCATTTAAAGCCTGGATGAAACCTAGAGGCAGAATTCTTGATGCAAGTCATTTTTTGGATCTCTGCCATTTGGTGAAACTGAAAGACATACAGATTCTTCGGGCTTGCAATTGCCAAGATATTCCACATCTAGTGGTAATAAAAATTAATGTTCAAATTAAAACAGTGAACAGAAAACTGGAAGTTCATGGGAAGAGCAAGTTGGCTGAAGGCAGAGTGGGGAGGTGAGGAGAACGACATGGAATGGGCTGGTTTGCTGAGTCAGCCTCACAGTGGTGCTTCTGATAAGATTTTTTGGGATGGGGATCCTGGATAGACACAGATTCTAAAGCACCAAACATGTAAATGGTCACTTTTAAAATGAGTACAGGTGATCCATAAATATTTTCAAGAATCAAAAGAATTGAAAGAATACAAGATACCATCCGTAAAATAAACATGCAGATATTCTGTATTATTTATTCCAGAGATAAGGCTATTATATGTTTCAGAGATAAGATTCATGTAAAGGAAGATGTGACAACTCGTAGGACCAGAAAGCACAGACTGGTAGAGGCCTCCGGGTCCTTTCAGATGAAGGAGGCTGATGTTCATCTATACCACAGGAGAGTGGAAAGATGTTTTGTCTTTAGTGCTCTGTGTATCCTTTTTCTGACATGGTTCCTTCTGCTTGTTTCTCAGGGCATCTTCCCTGGCATGGCTGAAGATGCTCTTTATAATGGTGATGAGGCCACCCTATTGCAAGCTCTTCATTTGGAAACCGAATAGCTCCCTCATGCTTTCAGGCTGAGAGAACTGATGAGTCAGGTGCATGGGCTATTGAGAGACAGAGGCCCTGAGAAATTATGTCATCCTGCCTCGTTAAGGAGCAGATGAAGGGACTAGCTCAAGGTCATGCTGTCAAAAGCAGGGCCACTCTAAATCCAAATATTAATACAATCTGCCAGTGTGAGTCAGAGGAACAGAGACTTCTCATTTTGCCACTCTTTGAACTCATTAACTGAACAGCATGGCACAAAGTGAGCAAGCTATTTTGTAGATGATTTAAATAAATGGTAAAGACTAGGAATATCTAGCATAGTGACTATGACCCATCAAAAGTGAGGCTGTAATAATTTTCTGATCATGTTCATCCTTTATAGAAGTCAAAGAACTCAAGGACAGAACATTATACAGCATGTGATTTAATCATAGTATGCCTTATGTGTGTTACGTTTAGTTGAATTTTATTGCCCTTTTGTTCAAATTGTGGTTCTTTCATTTTAAATAATTAATAAAAATTATTTTTTTTAACGATATCTTTTTTTAAACTTCTAGTTTAGGTTCAGGGGTACACATACAGGTTTGTTATGTAGGTAAATTTTGTGTCGCGGAGGTTTGGTGTACAGATTATTTCATTGCCCAGGTAATAAGCATAGCACCTGACAGGTACTTTCTGATCCTCACCCTTCTTCTGCCCTCCACCCTCCAGTTGGCCCACTGTCTATTGTCCCCTTCTTTGTGACCACGTGTTCTCAATGTTTAGCTCCCACTTATTAGTGAGAGCATGTGGTAACAGCAGTTTTTTAAGTCCATTTCAATCAAGAACAGGAAATAAAGATTCCAGATTCCTACAAACATTTAAAATGTAAGTTCTAGAAATCTCTAAAAAAGACTTGGGTTAGGAAAAGCTATGATTTGCAGTTGCTTCCTATTTGTCACATCAATTAGAAATAGACCTGAGATCAGTTCCGCCATGAATCCTAACAATAGGATAACTTTGTTAAAAAATAACCCCTAATGGCCGGGTGCAGTGGCTCACGCCTATAATCCCAGCACTTTGGGAGGCTGAGGCGGGTGGATCACGAGGTCAGGAGTTCAAGACCAGCCTGGCCAACATGGTAAAACCCCGTCTCTACGAAAAATACAAAAATTAGCCAGACGTAGTGGCGTGCGGCTGTAATCCCAGGTACTTGGGAGGCTGAGACAGGAGAATCGCTTGAACCCGGGAGGTGGAGGTTGCAGTGAGCTCAGATCACGCCACTGCACTCAAGCCTGGGCAACAGAGCAAGACTCTGTCTCGAAAAAAAAAAAAAAACCCAAAGTCACATAAATCTATTTATGGATAAATGATGTCCAACCAAGGGCTAGGTATTATATAGGCCCAGTTTCTAGAGGATCTGCTTCTTTGACATTGAGAACTCTATTTACCCAATATCTATTATAAAATCATGCATGTATGCAATTATGCATAAAATTATCTATTCTTTTTTAAAAGGGGTGCAAGCTGTGTCAAGTTTCTTGGGTTGAAGAGTAGTTTAAATAAGCCCTTTGGTTTAGGCTGCACACAAGAAGGCTTTACAAGTTCTAATCTTTTCTAAACCTGTTATGCTCTTAGGTTCAGCAGAGATTCCTAATTGTAGCTATTAGATCCCCTTTTTTGTGGTCTGTTCTGTCAATAGGCTATTGAGTGTTCAGTAAATTAAGCCCAACCAGCAGCCAACACATCGAGACAGACGTTAAATCATAGCTTGGCTGCCCTTATTCCTTACTGGTATCTGTGAAATGACTTTTAAGCACAGGCACAGGATTTAATATGATGCACATTTGTGTCACTCTCAAATTTCCATCCTGTACAATCAGGTATGTGAGGGCTTTTTTCCTAGGCAACAGGTGTGTTCTTGGAATAAAGTTCAACCCCCACTTCTGGCTGATGTGAGAGGCAACAGCTGCAAGCTTAATGCCAATGACACATGGTTCTGTAAGCGAGAGAAAAAATAAACGGCATGTTCAAAGTATTAACGTCATGGGCAGATGGACTATAGCTGCCTGTACTTTTCTTTGTGTTGTAGAGCTGGAGTCTAAACTTTCAGATGACAAGTGTTTCTTTCTTTCTCTCTTTCTTGCTTGCCTTTCTTCCTTCTGTCTTCTATTCTTTTCCTTCCTTTCCTCTATTTTTTAAAAACTAGGGAGAACATAAATTTTCTTAAGCATTACATATTCATTGCTGAGAATATTCCTTCATCTGAGTCATCCTGTTTACAGCCTGATGAATGAAGAGATGAAAAACTTAATATTAACCAAGCTACACTTTATAACTCACTCTGTTCTAAAAAGAACTTAAAGGGACTGTTTACTGTGCAATTTGAAGACAGCATACAAATCTTACTTTTTTAAAAAATGCAAAGTTAAATATACTTATTTATAGGTCTCATTATTCTCTTGTAAAAAGCTTCTATCTAGAATTTTTGAGATACTCCTAATGAGTTATAATGTACTGTGTACCTCAGAAGCCTAATGTTGGCATTAATGAATAGTAACCATAATGATACAATGATTACTGTCATAGTGTTCAAGACAGAAAATGTTCATCAATCACTCAAGCATCTTTTTCAGTGTATTGCAGATAATATTCCTTTGTGTATGTTAGCGTTCAGGAGTTATCACGCCTCAGAATACAAGAGGCTCAGCCACTCTCTTGCTGCATACAAGGTTTCTTGTAAACAAAAACACTGAGGAAAAAAACAGACTAGAGTAGTAACAATAGTGCTGTGGGATACATTTGACGTGGATGCATCTTAGTGCCCAGGTTTTTCCAGAACTCGTATATATCAAGGCTTGTCTCTTTCACCAAGGGGTACTTCAACAGAAATGGAGAAGTATCTTTGTTTTTCTTAGATGTGGCAAACAAATACATTGCAATGTGATGAGATAAGCACCTATTTAATTACAGTCTTGGAGCCTCTGGCATAACCGGAGTCACTGGATCCCCTGGGAGACTGGTGTTGGGTGTTGCATATGATGTCTAATTGGGAGGGGAGCAAAAAGAGAATCCCTTTATACTTTTTTTAACTTTTTTTTTTTATTATACTTTAAGTTTTAGGGTACATGTGCACATTGTGCAGGTTAGTTACATATGTATACATGTGCCATGCTGGTGCGCTGCACCCACTAACTCGTCATCTAGCATTAGGTATATCTCCCAATGCTATCCCTCCCCCCTCCCCCCATCCCACCACAGTCCCCAGAGTGTGATATTCCCCTTCCTGTGTCCATGTGATCTCATTGTTCAATTCCCACCTATGAGTGAGAATATGCGAAAAGCCCCAAACCACAACTTTATTCAAGAATCAGATTTTCTGTGAATCTATACTGAAAATGGTTTTGCCAGGATTCTGTCATTGCTGAGAAATCTATAGGTAGACAGATTTGGAATTCAATCCTTAGTGAGAAACAAAGGCCAAAGAAAAAGAAGAACCCAGTGATACATTTCTTTTCATGTTTTTAATTGGTTTGGCTATCACATTCGATTTTCACTAAATGAATGCAAACAATGACTAACCCCGGAGATGATGCTAATATTTTTTAAAATATGAAAAGTGTCTAAAACTGGCAGGCTAGCTTAGGTACCTTTAAAGTTCTCTTCCAACCCAGAGATTATCAAATTCTGTGTTTTTGCTTTTCCTCAGGCTGTACTTTGTTCAAAATTATAGTAAGATATACTTAACATAAAATTTACCATCTTAACCATTTTCAGTGTACAGCTTAATAGTGTTAAGTATATTCACATAGTTGTACAATCTCCAGAACTTCTTAATCTTGGAAAACTGAAACTCTGTACTCATTGAACAATTTCCTATTCTCTCCTCCCTCCAGCCTCTGGCAAACACCATTCTACTTTGTCTCCACAAATTTGACCGCCCTAGGCACTGCCAATAAATGGAATCATACAGTATTTGTCTTTTTGTGTCTGGCTTATTTCACTTAGCATAATGTCCTCAAGGTTCATCCATACTACAGCATGTAACAGCATTTCCTTCCTTTTCAAGGCTGAATAATATTCCATTGTATGTACAGACCACATTTAGTGTATCTGTCAATGCACACTTGGGTTGCTTCCACCTCGTGGCTATTGTGAATAATGCTGCTATGAACATGGGTGTCTCTTGGAGATGCTGCTTTTAAATTTGGGGGATATACATAGAAGTGAAATTGTTGGATCTACAGTAGTTCCATTTTTTTTTTTTTTTGAGGAGCCAACACACTGTTTTCCACAGTGCCTGCATCATTTTACATTCCCATCAACAGTGCGTAGAGGCTCCAGTTTCTCCCCATCCTAACCAGTACTTGTTAATTCCTGTTCTTTGGATAGTAGCCATCCCAATGGATATGAGGTGATATCCTCAGGCCGCATTTTACAGAAAGAAGAAGGGTGGCTGGTGACTGAGTCAGCTCAGCCAGGGGACCTTTTTAAAAGCATAAATCAAATCGCCCTGAGTCCTCTGCCCGGTGACCCCGGGTGGCTTCCCATCACAGTGGGAAGGAGAGCCGAGTCCCTCACTGTGACTAGAAGAGCATGTTGTACTCTGAGCCCTTGTTACCCCTCTCCCTTATCTTTTCCCAGGCCTTCTGTTCTGCTGGGAACACACCAAGCTTGCTCTGAGCCTTCGCTCTTGCTGTTCCCTCTGTCTGGAACTGTCTTCCCCACATCACTCCACAGCTCACTACCTCTCTCCATCAGATCTCTGCTCAGTGTCACCTCAGATACACCTTCCTATCTCAAGCAATAGCCCTGTTTCCAGCACTCTAAATCATGACTCTGCTTTCTTATTCTTTTCGTACTTAAAACTACCTGAATTCATTTATATATTTGTATATATCATCTGTTTCCCAGACTAAAGTGGAAGTTCTGTGAGAACAGGATGTAGCCTATCTTGTTCATCCCCATGCTCCTAGCTTCCAGAGCAGTGCTGGACAATACTCTATCCATAGGCCTTGCAGGAACAATTAAATGAATAAATGGGTAAATGAATGTTTTAGCCACCATCTGCCTAGCCAGAGTAAAAACTAAATAAATAAATAAAGATCTCCTCAGGCTGTTAGCGTTGTCAGAGGCTGGGCTGGTAAGTTTAAACTCTCTACTGAGAACAGGGGAGGAAAGTACTTACATGGGTCTCCACGTCCCCAGCAAGGATCCTACTGTTCTTTAAAAACTCGGCCACCATACTGTCCATCAGCTTGTCAAAGGCTTCCACGGAGGGTGCCACACCTTGGGGAAAGGAGCAGTTTGTTATTCCCTGGCCGTTGAATGAAAACCTGGGACTAGCCGGGCACGGTGGCTCACACCTGTAATCCTAGCACTTTGGGAGTCCGAGGCAGGCAGATCACCTGAGGTCAGGAGTTTAAGACCAGCCTGGACAACATGGTGAAACCCGTCTCTACTAAAAATACAAAAATTAGCCAGGTGTGGTGGTAGGCATCTTTAATCCCAGCTACTCAGGAGGCTGAGGCAGGAGAATCTCTTGAAACTGGGAGGTGGAGGTGATCTCAGTGAGTCGAGATCGCGCCACTGCACTCCAGCCTGAGTGACAGAGCAAGACTCCATCTCAAGAAAAAAAAAAAAAAAAGAAAACCTGGGACTGTCTTGCCATAGGCAATATGGAAGTTTAATATCATCAATTTCATTCTCACCAATTCATTTGCTAAGTCATTCCTTCACTCAATCAATGTGTTTGGTTTTTTTGTTTGTTTGTTTGTTTGTTTTTTGAGACAGGGTCTCACTGTCACCCAGGCTGGAGTGCAGTGGCGTGATCTTGGCTCACTGCAACCTCCTCCTCCCAGGTTCAAGTGATTCTCCAGCCTCAGGCTCCCAAGTAGCTGAGGCCATAGATGCGTGCCACCGTGCTCTGTTAATTTTTGTAGTTTTTGTAGAGACAGGGTCTCACCATATTGGTCAGGCTAGTTTCCAACTCCTGGGCTCAAGTGATCGGCCCACCTTGGCCTCCCAAGGTACTGGGATTACAGGCGTGAGCCACCATGCCCGGATCTCCATCAATGTTTATTAAACATTTCTCAACAGCTCAGGAAAACACTGTTTTCCTATTTTTCATCCTCCTGAGTAAAGACGCTACATAATTTCATTTCATTCCCTCCGGACCCAGGGAGGTAGGTAGCACCATCACAGATGAGGAAATGGCTGCAAACACAGCACCTGACAGGGCCAGAGTTACAGACCAAACAAAAGGCAGATCCAAAACCTGAACCCAGCCGAGTCATCCAAAGCCAGTGGCCCTTCTTCCATAGCCACCTGCTCAGGTGCTATAATGACCTTACAAACAGTTACCAAGATTACCCAGGACAATCAGAAGGTAATAATGAACTCTGGGCAAGGAGGAAAAGAAAGCTGATTTCACTCATTTTCTTCCTTCTTCACTCCCCAGGGGGTGGGGGGACAACCATAGTGGGAATGAAATTGACTGCTGAGCCCATACCTGTTGGGTTCAGAGCTGCCAAATTACTGGCAAAGCTCAAGTGGCAACTGCCCAACAGGTGTGCTCTGCATTTCCTTCCCTGCCTTTTAATTAACAGAAAAAAAATCTAAGTCCCTGATTTCATGTCCCTAATATTGAGAAATACAATACTGAGAAACTATGAAAACTCTAACCAAAATCTAGGATTCCTTTTCTCTATGCTCACAAAACTATTAGGAGAGTGTCTTTCTTTTTCTCTTTTTCCCAATTACCCATTTCCACAGGCCCAAAGGGTGATGGAAACAAGTTATTTACACTCTCTGCAGGTATGTTCTAACTTCCGAGCAGGATGTTGAAGCTAGACGTTGAAGCTGAGTTATCTTAAAGTTCACAGCACAGTATATAACAACTTCTGGAACATAAAAAGGACACAAGCCCAAAGGCTCCTTATGGATCCGTTTGGAGACAGATAAACCTGTTTGTTGCTATGGAAGAGGCCCGAGCGGGGATCTCTGCTGAGTATTTAAAGTGGGAGAAAGTTTCAGAAAAGTGACAGAGTCCTCTACATAGCAGAAGGTACAATGATAAAAGGGAATATTTTCCAATTTCCTTTCATCGTTCAACTCTGTTCACACCTCCTGCGGGCAGACCTGTCTTTCTCTCCAAACTGCATCCTTTGAGCATCCCTTAATCAAAGAATTTGGGGCCATGAATAGTAATGCATTGAGACCAAAGATTCTGGAGCATTAGGACTGTGTATAATTCATCTTCAATTTTCTTGCACCTAGCACAGTGTTTGTCGCATTATAAAAACGCAAAAATACTTCAACTGTTGAGCGCAACTTAAGTGATTATCACCAGAGGAAAAAAACACTCACCTTCTAAAGCACATCATAATACCAGTATCATAATAGAGTGGTCCTTTGATCTATGCCTATTATGCATTTGTAAGGGATTATGTTCCTTCTAAAAGTTTCTCTTTTTTTTGAGACGGAGTCTTGCTCTGTGTCGCCCAGGCTGGAGTGCAGTGGCGCGATCTCGGCTCACTGCAAGCTCCGCCTCCCGGGTTCACGCCATTTTCCTGCCTCAGCCTCCCGAGTAGCTGGGACTACAGGCGCCCGCCACCACGCCCAGCTAATTTTTTTCATTTTTAGTAGAGACGGAGTTTCACCGTGTTAGCCAGGATGGTCTTGATCTCCTGACCTCGTGATCGGCTCGCCGCGGCCTCCCAAAGTGCTGGATTACAGGCGTGAGCCACTGCGTCCATCCCGATTTTAAACATTTTCAAGTTTCTTTTAAAATTAAAAAAAAAATAACTTTTGTTATAACATTGTCGTAATGATGTTTACATGTAAGGTAAAAGGTTGTTCGGCGGATTTGTTAAAAATAGAATTTATAAAATTGTCAAAACTTACTAATTAAGAAGAAATGGAAATGGTGTTGTTTAGGATTAGTAAAATGTTTTAAGGATGGATATCATTCAGACAATTTACTAATTATCCTACTTCATTTCAAGTAGGATAGTAAATTACGGGCTAAGTTGTTTTAGAAGAGCTTTGCTTTAATAAACTGGTTTGGAACGATTTGTTATATGAGAAAATATTTGTTTAAACACTTAAATAATTTAAATAATTTAATTACATACCCTCTAATTCTACTTAGCCTATTAATTTTCCTAGAAAAAATCTTTTTTTTACAATGTACCAAGTTCAATCTAGTACCTCTTTGAGTAAGTGAGGTTCAAATTATTGAGATTTTTTTTTTCTTTACTCAATAATACTATATAGTCTCCCGGTAGTTAGATTTTAACTTTGTTTTGTGTATTCACAGGCTTCACATTTGTGGTCAGTAGTTTACAGAAATGTCTTTAATCATCTGATGCCAACAGTATAATGAAACAAAGTTACTGAAGAGAGGGTGAAAATATTTTCTTACAAATAAGGTTTATTGAATCATATACCAATTGTATACAGTTAACAAAAAGAGGCTTAAAATGAAATCATAGATGTGTCTCAGTTGGTGCGGAAAAAAACTTACAGGCTCCTGGCAGCCTTCCTTAAAACAACACCCCCTTTCAATTCATTCAAAGCATTTTAATTTTCATTATGTTCAGGGGGGAAATAAACCAGCCAGCACATTTGTGCTCACACAGTAATTTTTGTCCCATGGTATGTAATACAGGCACGGGTCCAAATTCGCCTGAAATTCTAGAAGCACCAATGTAGGTCTTTCCTGGTGAAAGCTTTTTCTGAAGTCCCTTCTTCCCCACGGCTTTTCTCAGCCCAAAAAAACCTGACAGGATTCAGTATGGGTCAGATAAGGAGGAAGTGCCCATGTGACAAGAACAGAGTTGCCATATTAAATGCAGATTGCCTGGTTCAATTTGAATTTCAGAGAAGCAATGAATAAATGTTTGCTGTAGGTGCATAACACGCAGTATAGCCCATGCAGTATTTGGGACATCCTTATACCCCCCAAAAAAGTGTTCTTTATCTGAAATTCAAATTTAATTGGTTGTCCTTTATTTTTATTTGTTAAAAAAATTATTAAGTAAATTATTTGTAATTTTTATTTGTCCCTTAGTCAAGAAGGAATTGGAAAAATTATTGTAGATAACTTGGAGAGCTTGCCATATGTGGTACCCTTTTTGGGAAGTAGCCAACTTTTTATTTTTGATGATATAATTAAAAAATGTTTTACAGTATGGTATTAGGATATAGTTTTAAAAGCATATTTGGTTGGCCAGGTATGGTGGTTCACGCCTATAATCCCAGCACTTTGGGAGGACGAGGCAGGCGGATCACGAGGTCAGGAGATTGAGACCATCTTGGCTAACATGGTGAAACCCCGTCTCTATTAAAAATACAAAAAATTAGCTGGGCGTGGTGGCGGGCGCCTGTAGTCCCAGCTACCCGGGAGGCTGAGGCAAGAGAATCGCTTGAATCTGGGAAGCAGAGGTTGTAGTGAGCCCAGATCATATCACTGCACTCCAGCCTGGGCAACAGAGTGAGACTCCAACTCAAAAAAAAAAAAAAAAAAAAAGCATAGTTGGTTAGGAATAGGCAAAGGTAAAACACCGTGACGTAGTTATGTTACATCAAAGTCATATTTGCCTTTGCATAAGACCAGCTTCCTTCAAAACTTTAGTTCCTAAATTTAGTGATTTGTTCTTTTTAAAATGAAAATCTACAGAATGATAATTCCTTCCAATTTACATTCTAATCAAGAACATTAGTTTCTTTTTTGATAATTATGTAGATAACATATTTAGTCATTGAGTGCGGGACAGCAGTATGAACACTAAATGAAAGAAAGATGAATATGCTCTTAAGAGGCACTGAGGCTGGGCACAGTGGCTCACACCTGTAATCCCAGCACTTCGGGAGGCCGAGGCAGGGAGATGCCTTGAGCCCAGGAGTTTGAGGTCACTGTGAGCTATGATTGCACCACTGCACTCCAGCCTGGGTGATAGAGCGAGACCCTGTCTCTAAAAGGCACAGATACTGATAATTGTTGTGGATTGTGGGTTGAAAGGTTTTCTTCCTTTCTCTTTTTCAGGGATTGCTTGCCTCTGGTTAATGTTATGGTCACATACGATGGAAGGAGTAGGGAAGCTGAAGGATAATAGAAATGTTCCTTGAGAGTGAAATTATGGAAACAAAATGAAGTAACCCACAAGAAGACCAGGAATGACAACAGTTTGTGACCCTACCTGCAATGACACCATTGACTTCCCCGCAGTTCCCAGGGGGCCTGTGGGACTCTGCAGACAGCGACTCCAGGCGGCTGACAGCTCGTTCCAGTCTTTCCACCAGTCCCTGCATGTTGGCCATTCTAGAAAAGCACAGGCACAAATGGAGGCTGCGTGAGCATCAGGGAGGATGAGTAAACCAACACCATCAGTCTCAACAACAGCGAGGAGGAAGACACAATCACTGGGGATGGCTTTATTTTTATTTTTTAACCATGAAATTGTATGTATTATTGTTGCTTTTTAATCTCAGTAGTTTTGGGGGTGGGTACAAGTGGTTTTTGGTTACATGGATAAGTTCTTTAGTGGTGATTTCTGAGGTTTGGATACACCCATCATCTGAGCAGTGTACACTGTACCCAATGTGTAGTCTTTTGTCCCTCATCCCCCTCCCACCTTTCCCCAAGTCCCCAAAGTCCGTTATATCATTCTTATGCCTTTGCGTCCTCATAGCTTAGCTCCCACTTATAAGTGAGGAACATATGATATTTGGTTTTCCATTCCTGAGCTACTTCACTTAGAATAACATGGCCTCCAGCTCCATCCAAGTTAGTGTAAATGACATTATTTTGTTCCTTTCTTTGACTGATTAGTATTTCATAGTGCATATATACCACATTTTCTTTATCCATTCATTGGTTGATGGAGACTTAACGTTGGTTCCGTATCTTTGCTATTGCGAATTGTGCTGCTATAAATGTGTGTGCATGCGTCTTTTATTTACCTACAGAGTATTTCTAAATATCAGAAAAATACGTGAAATTCAAAAGAACCTAAAACTTGGAACAAAAAAAAATTGGCATTATATTGAGCTTATTTTCTATTCCATTAGTGATTATTACAAGCCCAATAGGTAATACACAAATATTCACTCCCTTTATACTGCTTCCAAGTGCCTGTGTGGATGCTTCCTTGTTATATGACACAATCTATGTACAGCACTTAACTTTTTAAAAGCCCACAAAACATATATGGAAAAATTAATATTGCCAGCTCTTCTTCTGCTAATGGTGGGAGCGTATTTTCACTATTTCCAATAATTCCTTCTGTTAAAGTATAATTCTCCAGGGGAGACTAAACCTACCGATAATCCTTGTTTACTCAATTACATAAAACCAAACAACCCTGCCCAGGAGAACTGAGTTTATGACTCTGAGCATCATTTAGCAGGCAAAGAGGCCATCACCTCTAAGAGCTAATTGTTTTCCACTTATTACTGATTGGTTTGTTTTGGTGTTTCTGTTGCTGAATTATTTTAAATTATAATTATTCTGAATGTAGGGTTTTAATTTAAAATATGACAAATGGTTATTTTCCTTTTGTAAGGCTTCTGGTTATGTTTAAGCAAAATTTAGTCTTAGGTGGGGTGGTTTGTAGAGACAGGGATCTTCAGTTACCCAGTACTCTTGGCTGGGATAAATAGGGATTAAAGCTGATTAGAGGACTGGGGATAAAAATGGGGCAGGGTGACTGGGTGCGGTGGCTCACGCCTGTAATCCCAGCACTTTGGGAGGCTGAGGCAGGCGGATCACGAAGTCAGGAGTTCGAGACCAGCCTGGCCTACATGGTGAAACCCCGTCTCTACTAAAAATACAAAAATTAGCTGGGCTTGATGGCACACGCCTGTAATCCCAGCTACTTGGGAGGCTGAAGCAGTAGAATCACTTGAGCCCAGGAGGCAGAGGTTGCAGTGAGCCGAGATTGTGCCACTGCACTCCAGCCTGGCGACAGAGTGAGACTCTGTCTCAAAAATAAATAAATAAAATAAAATAATAAAAATAAAAAAGTTAGCCAGGCATGGTGGCGGGCACCTGTAATCCTAACTACTTGGGAGACTGAGGCAGGAGAATTGCTTGAACCCAGGAGGTGGAGGTTGCAGTGAGCTGAGATCACGCCACTGCACTCCAGCCTGGGTGACAGAGCAAGACTCCGTCTAGGAAAAAAAAAAATGGCGAGGGGGCAGGGTATCCATGCTTCCTGCTTCCAAACAGAAAATTAAATGAGTGTGCATAGGGTAAGTACCGACTAAAATTATAAACTTATATTAAGATTATTGGCCCTAGAATTTATATGTCTTTAAGGCAACCTCTGAGGAATGAAACCCAATCTAATTTGTTCAGGTTCCTGAGATCTAGCTTATAGCCACCTTAACCCCGGCCATATCAACTTATGGTTGCTTTTGGCAAAATCAGGCTGCTGCTCCTTAAGAGACGACAACAAGCCTCCTCTTAATCAGTGCCTGGAATTCTTCTCCCTCTTAAGAACCTTCCAAGCATCACTCTGAGCAAAAGAGGAACAGCATGCTTCTGAATCAGAGACACTGCTGTCCTAAAGCAGGGGTAAATAAATTTAATTGCTCTCAGATGGATAAATATTTTATGTTTCTGCTGGGGACCAGGCAATACATTTATTTCTCTTATGTGTTTTGTAGTCCGTCAGTTTTGAGCTTAAACACAGTGATGACGTGCCACTGCCATTTTTCAAAAGCAAGGTTATACTTATCAAAACTTGTATAGCTCTGTAATTCTGTCTGAATGTCAGATGGTCATCAGCTATGGAGGGCGGAGTTTACTGTCTATTTTGGAAAGTCATCTCTCCTGAAACTGGCAGCAGTTACTCTTGCAAAATATGGGGCAGTGTTCTCTGCACAGCTGAAATCAGCATCTAATCCTAAGGGGATTCAAAATTAGAAATTTCTCATCTATTCTTTTCCTCTTCACGTCAGAGCTTGTGCTTCCATCGCAATTGAAGGAAAAAAAAAGGAAAGAGAAATGTAATTGAATCCTTTACGTAATCCTCTTGCAAGGGAGCTGGGTATCCTGTAGGTGGGTGAAGGCCATTTGAGAAATGATGAAAGCCCCTCAAATCTTTTAATAGTTGCCCATCTGTTCACAGTTATCTATGTTCCCTGTTACTCAACTTGCCAAATGTTACCACCATAGACCTAGCCTGCGATAGAAAAAAAAAATGTTTGCTTTGTTAGCAAGCCTCTATTCCCAACAGAATGGCACCAGCCACCTCCAGCAGCTCACAGATGAAGCTGTCTTGAGAAGGCCTGTTACATTTCACACTTAGGACTGCCGTCTCTGACTGTGGCTTAATCAGACTCCCTGACAAGACCCAAACTCGCACTATCTCATAGTGCTCCGTATGTTGAAAGACAACAGGAGTCAGCCCACAAACTGCAGGGCTGGACAGATTGGTGTGGAATGCAGTCGAAAAGCGACTCAGATGTCACTCCATGTAAAATCACCACAAGCAAGACTGAAATCCTGCCACAGCCCCTAAGGCGGTCAAAATACAGCTCATGCAAGGAAGTTGGAGAGATGTCTCTGGGTTTAAAACTTTCAGAACAGTTTCTAAGATAAACTGAAGAATAAATAAAAGAAAGACTATACCAGGAGACATGTTAGCATTCCCAAGGAGACTGATGGGGCCCAAGATGATCGGATGATCATGCCGCCTTCTCTCCAAACTCTCTCTGTCTCTCTCCCTGTCTGTCTCCCGATATACCCTCAGCCACTAGCCTGGCTCTCAAGAATGAGGAAAGAGCAGAGCTGCAGATTCTCCAAATTCTTCCCAGGCAGTCCCATCCGCCTTAGCATTCCAAAGTGGATTTAGCCAAGTTTTGACAAGGAGGTGGCAGCCAGGAATTAAGAATTAGGTTGAGGAAACTCATAGGGTAGTCAAAGCAAATACAGACAGCAAGGTCAGGGTAAGGAATGAGTCAGAGCCAGGGGGATAGACCAAGGAATTTGCTTCAGGAGGCCAGCAGAATAGGGGGATACAGCAAGATGGCAGGAAAGAAGATATTCTAAGAACCCAGTGAAGAACAAAGAGAAGCCAGATTCACAGCTGGAGAATGAAGAGACTGGGTTAGATGACACAGCTCAAACTTGTCCCCCCAGATCTTCTCTAGTCATCCTATTTAAGTAGAAGCCGATGGCAAGGAAAGGTCAAAGGATATACACAAACACCTGACCAGAGTGTGAGTGTGTGTGGGGAAAAAAGAGGAAGGAACATAACATCGCACAACTTTCTCCTTTTCACAATTTGTTTTAGGAGCCGGGGCCAGTGGCTCATGCCTGTAATCCTAGCACTTTGGGAGGCAGAGGCGGGTGGATCGCTGGATCCCAAGAGTTCTAGACCAGCCTGGGCAACACAGCGAAACCCATCTCTACATAAAATGGAAAAATTAGCTGGGTGTGGTGGCACACGCCTACAATCCCAGCTATTTGGAGGACTGAGGCAGGAGGATCTCTTGAGCCTGGGAGGTCGAGGCTGCAGTGAGCCGTGTTCACCCCACTGCACTCCAGCCTGAGTGAAAAAATGAGACCCTGTCTCAGAAAAAAAAAAAAAAAAATCAGTTTTAAAAAACTGTACTTGAGATTAATGTTAATTCCTTGTTTTGAATTAATTTTTTTGTATTCTCTTTTGAGTTTCATTATAATGAGAAGTGCACCCATCCTCCTTTTGGGTCATTTTTTTTTTTCTTATCTGAATTTTCCCCTCACTTTTCAAGGTTGTTTGTTTTTTGTTTTGAGACAGAGTCTCACTGTTTCTCAGGCTGGAGTGCAGTGGCACAATCACAGCTCACTGCAGCCTCCACCTCCTGGTCTCAAGGGAGCCTCCCACCAAAGATCCTCCCTAGTAACTAGGATTACAGTGCATGCCACTACATCTGGTTAATTTTTTAAATTCATTTTTTGCAGGGACAGTGTCTCTGTATGTTGTCCAAGCTGGTCTTGAACTCTTGGGCTCAAGCAATTCTCCCATTTCAGTTTCCCAAAATAAAGGGATTATAGGCATGAGCCATGGCATCCAGGCTAATTTTTATTTTTATCAAAGCTAGACATGCACATAATTTAAAGAATCAATAGTTCTACCCTCTTCCATTCTGTGTCATAAGTGCTAACCATTTTCAATAATTTTAACTGTTTCTTTGATAATCACACCCTCCCTTCCCCCTTATGTCTAAATAACATGACTCTATCTCTGTGTATTATTTGGTTTTCTTCAGTTTGGGGCATTATCTACTGAGTTGCCACCAAAAATACACGGGTTTACTTTTTGCTTGCCCAGTCCTCACTACCACCTGCATGCGTATTGCCTTTTGTCTTGTCCTCCCAATAGTGTTATATCACAGTTTTTCTGTGATCGATATCCAGTGTTAACACAGTTATGACTATTTGCATCTGAGCCAGGAGGTATACTATACACAGGGTTGCCATTAAGTATAAAGGTAGAGAAAGTCTGGAACATGGTCATAATGAACGTTCGCTGCAGCTATTAAGTCATCCCATCTCATTTTGCTGTCAGTGGGAATAGTTATATTTGAAATGTCAAGCAGTCATCTAGAAGATCTGGTCAATGGAAATGACTAACAGAAAACTTCAGGTCAGTATAGCCTTATTTTTGTCCCCAACATTTCATTTTCCTCTGCCCATGTACTTATTCCTCCAACATGTTTAAAAGAGTTTTCTCAAGTCTACGTGTATGTGCGGTTACCATAAAATGAAAATTGTGGTATGTAATTCGTTATTTTTCCCTCTGAACATATTTACACATATTTTCCCTCTGAACATTTTTACAATGACTCTTTTGCTTCTAAACAGCAAAGGATGAAGGCCCAATCTCTTTGGGGTCATTTTTGGAAACTAGCAGCACTCCTTCATCCCTCATATTTTCTTCACCCAACCCATCTTGTGCTCATTGGTGAAGGGTCTGTTAAGCCCTTAACTAGCTCACTCTAACCAGTTATAAAAGCAGCTTTCACAGATGCTCTGAATGTTGACACTCCATGGCGCAATGTCAATGGTGATAAGCCTAGAATAACAACCTATGTGCCTGGATTACCTATTTTGCATCTGTGAGACATACGGCCCAATTAAAAACCTGCCTTGTGCTTTCTTTCCTGTCAGCACCTGTACACCTCGCCTCCCAAGGAGACCGGCTGCAAGCTTTTCAGGGGCTGAGGTTGGGTCTTACTCTTCTTTGCATCTCCCACTGAGTCCAGCATGGTGCCCTATACCTAGAGAACTATAAATACTTTTTGATTGACTAATTAATTAGCTACCACTCACTGTCTTTTCTTTGCCTGCCCACTCACTGGCACCATTCCAGATCAGGCTGAAAGCCAGATTTTCATAGGAGAAATTTTCATTTAAAAGAAGATGCTAGATTAGTTTTTCCTACTTGGAACCACAGTGGCTCCCTCCCATGACTTGAAAGAGCACACTTGCTCCCTCTAATGTAAGCCTTTGGGTCTCTTCCATGGCTCCTTTTTCTTCAGGATTTCAAATTGTGTTAAAACTCCACATTGTCTAAAGGGTTTTGTAAATTCCTCACAACAAGTTCACAAAACAAGTAAGAGATAATGCTACTTGGATAACATTTTCATGTTAATAAAAGAGGTGGGTCTTTCAGGTTTCCTGATTGCTAGCTGAAAGTTCTCCTCACTAGGCCAAAAATACAGAAATAATGGTAGTGAGTGTTTCTCTTCCAATTCTGCAAGAGAGACCCAGATCCAAGGGCTTCTGAAGATCATGAATCTAAGATTAAATAGGAAATAGACTTTTCTCAAAAGAAGACATTTACGTGGCCAAGAAACATAAGAAAAAAGCTCAACATCACTGATCATCAGAGAAAAGCTAATCAAAACCACAATGAGATACCATCTCATGCTAGTCAGAATGGTGATTATTAAAAAGTCAGGAAACAATAGATGCTGGTGAGGCTGTGGAGAAACAGGAACACTTTTACGCTGTTGGTGGGAAGGTAAATTAGTTCAACCACTGCGGAAGACAGTATGGCGATTCCTCAAGGATCTAGAACCAGAAATACCATTTGACCCAGCAATCCCATTACTGGGTATAGACCCAAAGGATTATAAATCATTCTGCTATAAAGACACATGCATACATATGTTTATTGCAGCACTATTTACAATAACAAAGACATGGAACCAACCCAAATGCCCATCAATGATAGACTGGATAAAGAAAATGTGGTACATATACACCATGGAATACTATGCAGCCGTAAAAAGGAATGAGATCATGTCCTTTGCAGGGACATGGAAGAAACTAGAAGCCATCATCCTCAGCAAACTAACACAGGAACAGAAAACCAAATACCCCATGTTCTCACTCATAGGTAGGGGCTGAACATTGAGAATACATGGACACAAAGAGAGAAACAACACACACCAGGGCCTATTGGGGGATGGGGACTGAGGGGAGGAACTTGGAGGACGGGTCAATAGGTGCAGCAAACTACCATGACACAAGTATACCTATGTAACGAACCTGCATGTTCTGCACATGTATCCCATTTTTTAAAGTGTTTTTTTTAAGAAGAAATAAAGAAAAAAAAAAGGAAATAGACTTGAAGTGACAGGAAACTGGAGACTTTCAAACCTTTTCTCATAGTGAGGCTGGGCAACTGGTTTATATGTGAACTCTCTGCAAAAAATAAAGTTACAATGGACTAATTTCTCTGTAAGTCCATCAAAATTTAAAATATTTGGTAAACTACCATCAAATCAGACTGTCCTAGATTGTTAAACTCTTTTTTTTTTTTTTTGAGACAGAGTCTCACTCTGTCACCCAAGCTGGAGTGCAATGGCACAATCTTGGCTCACTGCAATCTCCGCCTCCTGGGTTCAAGTGATTCTCCTGCCTCAGCCTCCCAAGTAGCTGGAATTACAGGCGCCCTCCACCATGCCAGGCTAATGTTTGTATTTTTAGCAGAGACAGGGTTTCGCCATGTTGGCCAGGGTGGTCTCGAACTCCTGACCTCATGTGATCCACCTGCCTTGGTCTCCCAAAGTGCTGGGATTACAGACGTGAGCCACTGCGTCTGGCCAATTGTTAAATTCTCTTTACAGTAACCGTATCAGTGACTTTCTTTTATTTCCCAGGAAACTACCAAGCACTGGGAGAAGTAACCCTGTGATTCACTATTACTAATTGGGTAATGGTATGTATAGGAGAAACAAACCATCACAGTATTCATTCATTCATTTTTTAACTGGCTCATTGAATATGTTTGTTTCATTCACTCAATCAGTCAGTTCCCACTGTCTACTAGGCACAATGCTCATATCTAGAAAACTAAGGCTGATTAAAAAACATTTCCTGCCCTACTGTAGTGTGAGGGGGCTGAAAGCAAACCCTGCTCAGTCAAGCCAGGAAGCTGTTTAACTAAGAGATACATTCACGTTGCCAAGGTGCCCGCCTTCGTATCTTTTGCTTACTCTCCTATAGAGCATTTCTGGAGCCAGCTTCTCGCCAAACAGCAAACAAAAAGCACCATTTTCTTTTTATTGCAAAGATGTTTCAAGAGTCTCTGATTTTTGAGATGGTGTAATCAGAATAGCTGAGACCAGAAAGTTATATAAGAAAAAGAACACTCTCAATGTTTCATGAAACTGGAGAAAACATGTATGAGATCCTGGTTAGCCAACTGACTCCTCTAGGGCCTCTAATCAGGTCTCACTGCAGGAGAAAAATGCTTCAGCTTGACCTTCAGAAAGATCTCACCCCAGCTCTCTAGCTACAATTCCCCATGCTCCTGAGATACCCACATGCCACAGGGACAACTCCCCAAGTCCCAAACGTGTCCTACCCTATCCCTCTCCTATGCCATGATTCTGCTGCCTCTAAGGTTCTTCCTAGCACTGTTAATTTTCAATCCTCAAATCCCAGCTCCTCCAAGAGATCTTGCAGTGTCTCACAAATCAGAGTAATCTCTGGAGAGGTCTTTACTCCCTGACATCTCCATCGACTATCGAAACCACATATACAATTTCCTCGCCATCCCATTTGCCCCCTCCACTGTGGTGGTTTCACCCCTCAGAACCATCCCTAATTTGCCTTATATATAAATATTCCTCCTCTAAGTTGAAATAAGAAATACTTACTCCCTGACATTTCCATCTAAACCACATGTACAATTACCTCACCATCCCATTTGCCCCCTCCACTCTGGAGGTATCACCCCTCAGAACCATCTCTGATCTGCCTCGTAGTTTAAGCATTTGTCCTCTAAGTTGAAATGTCTGAAGATAAAAGGCTAGGACTCATAACTTAATGTAGTGGAAAAAGAACTCTGGGGATTAGAGAATCTTAATTTGAGATCCAGCCCCTTCACTGACAACCCACGTGATTCTGGAGGTCTTGAGTCTTCTAGTAGACAGACTACTTAATCTGTCTGAGTCTCAGTTTTCCTATTTCCAATATACGAACTCATTCCTTCTTCCTCATTCAGTGGCTTAAGAAAATTGTCTGCAAAGGTGTTTTGAGCTACATTCGGTACTGGCTTGGGGCTACACAGGTGGATGAGACACAGACTGCGTCCTCAAGGCACAATCTCCTTGAGGAGTAGACAGTTCAGCCACTGGGGGCTGGCCAGCTGTCCATGGCACTGGGCCACAGGGAACTGGGCTACTGAGGCAGGAGGGAGCCCAGTGAGAACTGAGGCCATGGGGAAGGCTAAGTACATCTCGAATCCTGGCTCTGTGCACTGACTTGGGGTGATGGGGCTGAGTAAGGCAGAGCCATAAAATAAAGGACTCTGAATGCTGACCAGGGCCAGGATAAACCATATACTACTCCCCTGTCATGGAGTGGAAGCTCGCTTAGCTAAACACGAGATAGAAACCCTTCACTGAAGAGGAGCTCATTCCCCAGGCCCCTCTATAGCCCTTTCTAAGCACCTATGCAGTTGAGGAAGCTCTTTCTATTTCTGTGTCCCCACGTTGCCCCTTTGCGCTTGTTTACACCATGGAGGAGGTAGAGTTCAAAGAACTGCTTCTAGGAGTCCCCTAAGGGCCACACGCTGGCACTGAGAAAAGAAGAGCCATGGAGAACCTGCTGGCCAGGCCACTACAGACTGGGCAGGAGGGTCGTGAACCATTCTCCCTCCATCAAGTAAATGTGTTACTCCCCTTGTATCCAGAATATATAAAAAAACTTTTACACTCAATAAGAAGGCAAATATGCCAGTTTAATAGTCAGCAAAATATCTAAATAGACATCTTCCCAGAGAAGACAGGCAAATGGCCAAGAGCACATGTGAAAGGGCTCAACATCAGTAATCATTAGGAAAATGCAAATCAAGACTCCAATCAGATACCACTTCACACACACTAGTATGGTTATAACCTAAAAGACAGATAATAAAAAGTGCTGGTGAGAATATGAAGGAATTGGAACCCTCAGACATTGCTGGTGAATATGGAAAATGGGACAGTTGGTTTAAACTGTTTGGAAGTTTCTTCAGAAGTTAAGCACATATTTGCCATATGAACCAGTCATTCCACTCTATTTTACTCAAGAGAAATAAAAATATATGTTCACACACAGACTTGTGCACAAATGTCATAGCAGCACTGTTCATAATAGCCAAAAAATGGAAACAATCCAAATGTCCATTAACCTGTGAATGCCTAAGCAAAATATGGCATATGTATTATAATGGAGTATTATTCAGCCATAAAAAAGAGTGAAATACTGATACATGCTACAAAACAAAACAAGTGAACTTCAAAAGCATTACACTAAATGAAAGTCAGACAAGAAGACTGTGTATTGTATGATTCCATTTATAAGAAATATCCAGGAAAGGCTAATCTATAGAGACAGAAAGTAGGTTAGGACATTTAAATTGGGTCAATTTTATGGCATATAAAATTATAACTCAAAAAAGGTTTAAAAACAAACAAATGAAAAAGGATTGTGCCTCTTTGTAAAGATACAGTTAAAAACCATTAAATCTGGCCAGGCATGGTGGCTCACGCCTGTAGTCCCAGCACTTTGGGAGGCCGAAGCGGGCAGATCACGAGGTCAGGAGATCAAGACCATCCTGGCTAACACAGTGAAACCCCATCTCTACAAAAAAATACAAAAAAGTTGACCAGGCGTGGTGGCGGTCACCTGTAGTCCCAGCTACTCGGGAGGTTGAGGCAGGAAAATGGCGTGAACCTGGAAGGCAGACCTTGCAGTGAGCCGAGATCATGCCACTGCACTCCAGCTCTGGACTCCGTCTCAAAAAAAAAAAAAAATTAAATCTGAGTAACTTTGCTGTTCTCATCTCCCAGTGGTCAGAAGTGGTGGTGAAACCTACCCAGATACTGCTCCAAGTGGCCATACTCCCCACTCCTGGAACTAGTTGTACAGGCCAAGGCAGGTGAGAGAATAAAACATTGATTCTCACCACTCTTTTTCATCTGCGTAAGAATCACTGGGGGAGAGGTGAGCCTTCTTAAATGCAGGCTCCTGGGCCCCACTCTCAGCAATACTGATGCAGTAGTTCTGGGTATTCCCAGGAATCTGCCTTTTTAAGAAGCACTCTTCAGAGTACAAGGGCCCACACTTTGAGAATTACTGTAACAGAGGTGTGCAGGGATGTGGTGGGAGCATGTGGGACAGGCAGCTCAAGAAAGGTAGACATGCAACTGAGCCCTGGGAAGTAGAGAGGCTACCAAAGTTATGATAAGAACCAAATTAAGTCTCAAAGATGAGAGTATGGTATTCAGAAGAAGAAAAATAAGTAAAGGCATCCCACCGCCTATGCCTCCATATGCAAACGCATGGAAGCATGAATGACGAGTAAATATTGATGGAACATTCATTATGCGCCAGGAGCTATCTAACAGAGCATGAGAAACAAGGGACTGATGAGTAGTTAGAAGGGGTGGTAGTCAGGGCCGGGAGGGGAGTTGGGAATAAAGTGACAGCGGGTTGAAGAAGATCTAAGGGAAGTTTAGATTAGGCAAGATTTGAGAAAAGATTAAATGGTTGGAGGTTTGGAGGGAAAGGGAGAAGCTAGGATATCTTAGATGTTTTGCTTCAGGGAAGGTGGTGCCAATCAAAATAGAGTTAGGGAGCGGAGGTGCCCAGGTCAGAGGAGTTCAGAGTTAGAGGATCTGCATTTGAAGTGCCTACAGTTGGCAGTTACGAGTAGGGACCTAAAGCTCAGGGGCCTTCTGGAAATATGTCATAAGTATTATCTACCCAATAATAATACATGCCTCAGGATTCTTGGGAAGGTGAAAGGAGACCATGAAGTGAACTTTGCAACTACAAAGTGATGCCTACATGTCATTATTATAATTTCCCTCTGAATGGTCCACAGCACTCATCACTGTGCTCTGTACCCAGTGAGTGCTCAATCCCTGAATTATCATGGTAAGTGTTACTACCTCCTCTATCTTCCAGACACAATGATGGTAACATCTCACACACCACACTTCCTTTTTTTTTGAGACAGAGTCTCACTCTGTCACCCAGGCTGGAGTGCAGTGGCGTGATCTCGGCTCACCGCAACATCCGCTTCCTGGGCGCAGGTGATTCTTCTGCCCCAGCCTCCCGAGTAGCTGGGATTATAGGTGCCTGCCACCACACCTGGTGAATTTTTGTATTTTTAGTAGAGATGGGGTTTCACCATGTTGGCCAGGCTGGTCTCGAATGCCTGACCTCAGGTGACTCGCCTGCCTCAGCCTCCTAAAGTGCTGGGATTACAGGCGTGAGCCACCACGCCCAGCCTCACACACCACACTTCTCAAACCAGGCCACAGAACAAGCACACTGCAAAATCACCGCAGACTGCAAGCAGGGGGATATCAAAAGCACCATGGACTGAAAGCATAAGAGGCTATCATCATAGGGCTGAGCGTGGTTGCTCACGCCTGTAATCCCAGCACTTGGGGAGGCCGAGGCTGGCGGATCACAAGGTCAGGAGATCAAGACCATCCTGGCTAACATGGTGAAACCCCGTCTCTATTAAAAATACAAAAAATTAGCTGGGCATGGTGGCGGGCGCCTGCAGTCCAAGCTACTCGAGCTACTCGGGAGGCTGAGGCAGGAGAATGGCATGAACCCAGGAGGCAGAGCTTGCAGTGAGTAGAGATCATGCCACTGCACTCCAGTGTGGCGACAGAGTGAGACTCCGTCTCAAAAAAAAAAAAAAAAAAAGGAGGCTATCATTTCATATAGTCAGTTACTTCTCATGACTAGGAATGTTTTACTTTATCAAATTCTGTCATTTCAATGTGAAGAATGCCTTGTCTCTCTGGAATGATGAGTGCTATGGTCTGGTTTGTTTGACCCCCTGCAAAACTTATGTTGAAATCTGATCCCCAGGTAGAGCCTAATGGGAGGTGGGAGGTGGAAGGTGTTTGGGTCATGAGGGCAGATCCCTCATGAATGGCTTGGTGCCATTCTCACAAGAGTGAATTCTTGCTCTATTCGTTCCCAGGAGAGCTGGTTGTTAAAAAGAGGCTGGCATCCATTTGTGAGCTGTAGAGTGGCAAGGAAAAAATGAGCCTGGCACCTCTCCTCTCCTCCTGCTTCTTCTCTCGCCGTGTAATCTGCACATTCCAGCTTCCCTTCAACTCTTGCCACAAATGGAAGCAGCCTGAGGCCTTTACCAGAAACAGATGTTTCTTGTACAGCCTGCAGAACTGTCAGCCAAACAAACCTCTAATCTTTGTAAATGAGTCTCAGGTATCCTTTATAGCAATACTAATGGACTTAGATAACGAGTAATAAGGTTTGTTGAAATTCCTTGTAATCTCAAAATTTACCAGCATTCATTGTAATTATATGCAATTAAATAAAAGATTCAGCAACTCTCTTAAAAGAAAATGAAAAAAGAAAAGCCCTAAAGATCAGTTCTTAAGTGTTGGGCCAGTTTTATGAATAGAAATTACCAACAAATCCAAGTGTGATGGAATAGCCAGGTGATCAGTTTGGCCCAAGCATTCCTCCAGCCCCCTTTTGCTTCTTCATGTGTCTCTAGCTTCCTGGGTCTACTTTCACACTTGACTTTGATTTTTTTTTTTTTTTTTTTTTTTTGAGACCGAGTCTTGCTCTGTCACCTAGGCTGGAGTGCAGTGGCAGGATCTCAGCTGACTGCAACCTCCACCTCCCAGGTTCAAGGGATTCTCCTGCCTCAGCCTCCTGAGTTGCTGGGATTACAGGCGTGCATCACCACACTCAGCTAAATTTTTATATTTTTTGGTAAAGACGGGGTTTCACCATGTTGGCCAGGTTGGTCTTGAACTCCTGACCTCAAGTGATCCACCTGCCTTGGCCTCCAAAAGTGCTGGGATTACAGGCGTGAGGCAATGCGCCTGGCCATTTTTTTTTTTTTTCAAGACAGGTTCTCACTCAGCTGCCCAGGCTGGAGTGCAGTGGCACAATCATAGCTCACTGCAACCTTGAGCTCCTGGGCTCAAGCGGTCCTCCTGACTCGGTCTCCCGAAGTGCTGGGATTACAGACATGAGCCACCACACCCAGCTTCAATTTATTACTTCAACACAATCAATCAGGGGTTTCAACTCATGCTGTTGACCACTAAAAAACTACAGGTTCTTCCTTTTTTTGCTCTTTGAACCTGGGAGCCCAAAGTAAAAGGGGAAACAGAGAAAGTGGGTAAAGTGGAAAGAAAAGAATGGTGTGGAAGAAACAGAGGAGAAAAAGGAAACAAGAGAAAGCTTCAAAAAGAGGAAGGGGCTACCAGGGACACTCAAGAAGGAAGAAGCCCACTTCAGCCTCTCTCCAAACTGTGTTCAAAATACAAAAGGCAACTATCTGATTCCAAAAGACAAAACAATAGTACATGAATTGAGAAGAATCAAAATTGAAAAGGGAACCCATTTGGGAGTAAAATGCTGGTTTTTTTCTCATTTTTTTCTTCAGGGTCGACCTTAAATCAGAATTGGGTGGGGGTGCAGGTAGCAAACACTCCAACAGAAGCTCCTCTTTTTGGCCAGAGGAACTGGAAAGGGGGCCCTGGCTAATAGAAGAGTGTGAGGCAAGCCCAGGTTTTGGGTTTTGTTTGCATTTTTCTCTCCCAAGCGTGGCCGTAGTCACAGAACTGTGTGGCAGAACAGTAAGCAGCAGCACAGGCACCTGAAACTTTTTTTCTAAAGAAACCTGGGCAGGGCGAGGTTGCTCACACCTGTAATCCCAGCACTTTGGGAGGCCGAGGCAGGCACATCATGAAGTCAGGAGTTCCAGACCAACCTGACCAATATGGTGAAACCTTGTCTCTACTAAAAATACAAAAATTAGCCAGGCGTGGTGGCATGGGCCTGTAATCCCAGCTATGCAGGAGGCTGAGGCAGGAGAATTGCTTGAATCCAGGAGGCGGAGGTTGCAGTGAGCCGAGATTGCACCCTTGCACTCCAGCCTGGGCGACAGAGTGAGACTGCCTCAAAAAAAAAAAAAAAGAAATCTGGGCTTACTGACAGAAAAGTAGGGGAACAGGGGACCTTGTGGTCCACAGAGTATGGGGAGAATTCCTGGTATTTTATTCCTCTCGCTACTCTGTCCTGAGGATGGCCCCAAGTCTTGGAGAACTCTACAGCAGCATAAGCACCTTAAACTTTAAAAGAAATCTAGTCTTTCCAGAAGAACAGGAAAAAGGGATCTTGGGGTAGAGGTGTGTGGCGAGAATCCCAGAGAGACGAGAGCTAAAGAAGGGGATGCCCTGGCTCTGTGTATGAACCAGCACAAGTCCCTGAACTGTGTATGTGTGGGACGGTCCCAAAGGCTTTGCAAACTGAAGTAGATATAAACCACTGCTCAGGCTGGGCGCGGTCGCTCACACCTGTAATCCCAGCACTTTCAGAGGCTGGGGTAGGGAGATCGCTTGAGCCCAGGAGTTCACGACCAGCCTGGGCAACATAGGTAGACCCCGCCTCTACAAAAAACTTAAAAATTAGCTGAGTGTGGTGGCCTGAGCCTATAGTCCCAGCTACTTGGGAAGCTGAGACAGGAGGATCACTTGAGCCCAGGAGGTCGAGGCTGTAGCGAGCCAAGATTGTGTCACTGCCTTCCAGCCTGAGTGACAGAGTGAGACCCTGTTTCAAAAAAACAAAACATTATGCTTTTGTGCTTTAAATAAAAATAAAAATAATAAATAAACAAAACAAAAGAAGAAATCATGACCAAAAACTTCCAAACTTGGTGAAAGCTACACATTTACAGATCCAAATAGAGTAGTTGCCCTTTGCCCAGTTTCACTTTCTGTAGTTTCAGTTACCCATGGTCAACAATGGTCCAAATATAGGTGAGCACAGTACAATAAGATATTTTGAGAGAGAGAGAGAGAGAGAGAGAGAGAGAGACTCCACATTCACATAACCTTTATTATGGTATATTGCAATGAAGTTCTAGTTTATTATTAGTTATTATTGTTAATCTCTTACTATGCCTAATTTATACATTAAACTTTTTTAAATTTTGAGATGGGGTCTCACTCTGTCGCCCAGGCTGGAATGCAGTGGTGCAATCTCAGCTCACTGCAACCTTTGCCTCCTGGGTTCACACGATTCTCCTGCCTCAGCCTCCCGAGTGGCTGGGATTAACAAGCGTCTATACCACACCTGGCTAATTTTTGTATTTTTAGTAGAGTTGGGGTTTCACCATGTTGGCCAGGCTGATCTCGAATCCTGACCTCAGGTGATCCACCCGCCTCGGCCTCCCAAAGTGCTGGGGTTATAGGCGTGCCCCACTACACCCGGCCTTATATATTAAACTTTATCACGGTAGCTATGTATAGGAAAAAACGTGGTATATGTAGGATTTGGTACTATCCATGCTTTCAGGCATCAACAGGGGGTCTTAGAACGTATCCCCCATGGATAAGTGGGGAATACTGTAGTGCTGTCTGTCTGTTATACATATACACTCATACAATACCTTCTGGTGAGTGCCTCCAAAGAGGAGAACAATAACGATGAATAAAGTAAAGATATAACTGCCTACAAAGAAATAAATAAAATGTAATGGCTGTTATCCTCTTTTGAGACGTGTCATAAGTACTTAGACTTTTAATTTTTTTTTTTTTTTTTTTGAGATGGAGTCTCACACTGTCACCCAGGCTGGAGTGCAGTGGCGCGATCTTGGCTCACTGCAACCTCCACCTCCCAGGTTCAAGCAATTCTCCTGCCTCAGCCTCCCAAGTAACTGGGATTACAGGTGCGTGCCACCAAGTCCAGCTAAATTTTTTTTTTTTTTTTGAGATGGAGTCTTGCTCTGTCACCCAGGCTGGAGTGCAGTGGCGCCATCTGGGCTCACTGCAAGCTCGGCCTCCTGGGTTCACACCATTCTCCTGCCTCAGCCTCCCGAGTAGCTGGGACTACAGGCACTCGCCACCACGCCCAGCTATTTTTTTGTATTTTCAGTAGAGACGGGGTTTCACCGTGTTAGCCAGGATGGTCTCCATCTCCTGACCTCGTGATCTGCCCGCCTTGGCCTCCCAAAGTGCTGGGATTACAGGCATGAGCCACCGCACCCAGCCATTTTTTGTATTTTTAATAGAGATAGAGTTTTACTATGTTGGCCAGGCTGGTCTCGAACGCCTGACCTCGTGATCCACCCACCTCGGCCTCTCAAAGTGGTGGGGATTACAGGCGTGAGCCACCATGCCTGGCCAAGACCTTTAATTCTTGAATGGCTTCCTTAGGGACATCCAGTAAAACAAGGAGTCACTAGAACTATGTCAATTAATGAATTGGTTCATTTACCAATACTGAGCTAGAAAGGTTTTGCCACAATTACTGACCCTTGGTTTTTGGTCAGAAAATAGCAGCAGGGTGAGCTACAACAGGAGTCTTCAATTTTTTTACTTGTATATACCCTAAAAGAATTTTGTAAAAGCCTCTTGCACATTTTTAGATTGGCATATAGCAACTGTCACCAAAATGTGAATAGTTGCAAAGAATGTAACTTCCAACACTGTGTAAATATGGCCATATAAAACTATCTTATATGTCCAGTGAAATTCATTCTTACTCATTTTAAAAGAATACTGGAACAGGCTGGTCTTTAATAGTCACAAATTTTGCATAATTCCATTTTCTCCTTGAACTTATATTTCCACGCTTCTTGCCCTACAGAAGTTTATCTTAATTTTACATATTTTATGCTTTAGCCTATTTTACTCATTAGCCTACCATACTTTTCTGCATCAAAAACATTATTTAAATTTAAATTCTAATTCAATGGTCAAAACATTTTTTAAAAAAAGCTATTCTGATACCATTGTTACTATTAGTAGGATGTGACTTAGAAAACAACACAAATATTACAAATTTTGACAAATAATTACTAAAAGTAAATAAAAAGCAACTTTATTGGAAATCTCTCTCTTTTGAACACTTTTACTTTCCATAACTTTATGGATATGTGGATGTGTATACTTATTAAAATGAGTCCAGGTGGCTGGGCGCTGTGGCTCACGCCAGTAATCCCCGCACTTTGGGAGGCCAAGGCAGGCGGATCACCTGAGGTCAGGAGTTTGAGACCAGCCTGGCCAACATGGTAAAACCCCATCTCTACTAAAAGTACAAAAAATTAGCCGGGCATGGTGGCTCGCGCCTGTAGTCCCAGCTAGCCAGGAGGCTGATGCATGAGAATCACTTAAACCCAGGAGGCAGAGGTTGCAGTGAGCCAAGATCGTGCCACTGCACTCCAGCCTGGGTGACAGAGCAAGACTCCATCTCAATAAAAAATAATAATAATAAAATAAAAATAAATAAAATGGGTCAATGTTGAGCATCAATTTAATTCTTATTTTTTGTTTTTATCAATGTAATGCTGGGAAACATAATGAGGAGATGGAAATGGGAGGAATTTTGTTATAGAAATGTCACTTAATTTTTTGAACTCCAACATCACATGGTAGTGAAATATCAAAACTTATTTTAATTGTCAATGTAAGGAAAAATTGAGAAGACAAATTTCATGAGTACCCTAATACTTATTCATCTGGGTCATCTCAGTCATTCATTGTGTTTGACTAAGCTATTTTACAACCCTGTAGAGATATAAGTTAAGTTGCAGAAAACTGATAGTAAAGCAAGTCATACAGACATGCAAATAAACTTTATGCTGTAGAAGTCCAATCACCTTCCCTCTCCCATTGTGGAAGAAGCCAGTTTTACATGTATTAAGCAAATTCATTCCAGCATTCTTATAAATGATCTCCTTTGAACTGACTGCAAAACCTTTCTGGCTCTCTCATTTTTTAAATAAGTTTGAAAATGTCTATTTTTTATTTGTATGAGAGTCAAAATTTCATTCTTTTTTAGAGTTTATCCTTTAATATCGGTTTACTATTTGATTAGACTGGCCTTCACTTTTTGTTTTTTAAGATAGATTTAGAAAACACATGATTTGCAAAAGGGTCTCTGCTCAGGCATTACAGTCATTTGCTTTCTCACCCCTGAAACGAAATTTATACTCAGAAATTTCCCCCTTTTTTGTCCTCCCCATCCCCTAGAGTTTTACATCCTTGGGCAAAGCAATTTACTAAAATGGGTTAGACATAAACCATTTAGTAAAATGGATTAGGAAAATGGGGTAGACATACGCTTTTCACAAGGAAAGCAAGAGGAAGGTGATTATGGAAAAGCAGATGGGAAAGAGAACTTGCGTCTCCATTACAGGTCCATTCTCATCAAGATTAGTCTTAGGAAAAAAGCACATATGGAAGAGGAGGATTTGGACCTTTATATTCTCAAAGCACCTGTGCACATGTACCTTTGGCAAACCTTTGCATATAGTAAATGCACACAGTTTAAAGATTGCTGAACCAAAATAAGAAGCATAAAAATGAGTTCCATCCCCAATTATATATTATATAGAGACTCACACTATTAACAAGTCTCTTTTTAAAATTTTCAATTACTGAAGACTTTCAATTGATAATTGTCCACCTTCCATTCAGAAAGAGGCATTGAGGGGAGTGAATTCCTAAGGAAGAGAGAGGCTGTTCTGAAGCAAGATGGAAGGAGGGGGAGTGAAGGGTTGTCTACAGTGAGAACTTTGAACACAGAGAGGAGTACTAAGAAACAGAGAAGAAATTCAAATGGAGGAGAAATAAAAATGTAAACTTAAAAAAAATTGCCTAAATAATTGTGGATCTGCATTGTACCCTGAAAATCTCTAGCCACAGCTTCTAGCATGACTGCCGAGAGATAGACTATCTGCATTTAGCCTACCTCATGTCAAGTAACCAATCAGTTGAAACTGTCCATCAATCAACCTAACTCATTAGGCCAGACATTTGGTTTTCCTGCCACTGGAGAGGGGTGAGTAGCAATACCAGGACAGTATACATTCGATGGAAAGATCACACTTATATCATATTGATCTATCACTTGCACAGTTTGGGTAATACACAGGTTACTATGTTAGTTTCTTTCAGGCTGCTGTAACAAAACACCACAGACTGGATAGCTTATAAACAATAGAAATTTATTTCTCACAGTTCTGGAGGTTGGGAAGTCCAAGATCAATGCAGATCAAGGCCCACTTTCTGGCTCATAGATGGCACTTTCTTGCTGTGTCCTTACTTGGCGAAAGGAGCAAAGGGTCTCCCTTGGTTCTCTTTCATAAGGGCACTAATCCATTCATGAGTGCTCTACCCCATGACCTATTCACCTCCCAAGGCCTTCCACTCCTAATACCATCACAATGGCAGTGAGGATTTCAACATAAGAATTTTGGGAGGACATAAACATTCAGACCACAGCAGCTTCGAAGCTAAGATTACAAATGGATGCCTCCAACTCCAGTATATCACACTATAACCAGACTGAACTATACATGCAACACTTGGAAGCCTATTTTACCTGGTTCTGAAAAATCTGATCATCTCATTTTCTTAGTGTGGTCCAATTTAACTGTTCTTGTTGCCTTAGGATAAAATAATTCATTTTCATAAGAATCCAGTGATTCTTTTTTTTTTTTTTTTGAGACGGAGTCTCACTCTGTTGCCCAGGCTGGAATGCAATGGCGCGATCTCGGCTCACTGCAAGCTCTGCCTCCTGGGTTCACGCCATTCTCCTGCCTCAGCCTCCCGAGTAGCTGGGACTACAGGCACCTGCCACCACGCCTGGCTAATTTTTTTTGTATTTTTAGTACAGACGGGGTTTCACCATGTTAGCTAGGATGGTCTTGATCTCCTGACCTTGTGATCTGCCCGCCTCAGCCTCCCAAAGTGCTGGGATTAGAGGCATGAGCCACTGTGCCCGGCCAAGAATCCAGTGATTCTTCTCTGACTAAAACTAAATAGAAACAAAGTAGGAAATGATGACAATCATCCGAATAGATCCTTTGTGACTTATGTTTACAGCTTAAGTGTCATCTTCTATTCATTCTATCTTCCTTCACTGATCTTCATTTTTGCATCCCCAGATGCTAGGGATATAGCAGTCACTCAACATAGGGGGAGTAAGTCAACCAATGGATCCCAGAATTTCTCTGGATCTCCAAATGGAATGATGCAAAGTAACAGAGGTTATTTTCTCATTAAACTGTGCATAATAATAGGACAACAAAGCTGTCTATGTACTACAGGTCTGTTTTGTGTGTGTATGTGTGTGTGTGTTTTGAGATGGAGTCTCATTCTGTTGCCCACACTGGAATGCAGTGGCATGATCTTGGCTCACTGCAACCTCCGCCTCCCGGGTTCAAGCGATTCTCCTGCCTCAGCCTCCCAAGTAGCTGGGACTACAGGCACGTGCCACCATGCCCAGCTAATTTTTTTTTTTTGTATTTTTAATAGAGATGGGGTTTCACCGTGTTAGCCAGCATGGTCTCAATCTCCTGACCTTGTGATCACCCGCCTTGGCCTCCCAAAGTGCTGGGATTAGAGGCGTGAGCCACCATGCCCGGCCACTACAGGTCTGTCTTTGGTGTCTCCAGCATCTAACTTCCCCAGGAACCATCTTCCTCTTCAGAACTGCCATTTAGGTTACCTCCCTTCTATGTTCAGCCTCTTGGAACCCTCCTTCAGCCTCTCAGAATACCCCTTCCCATCAAAACAAAAGAGATTTTAGATCAGACTTCTATATTGCAGAATGGCCTTTACATTCTGAAAAGCTGAGGGCTAACAGGAACATCAAAGGTTATTTACTTCCTCCATGTATCAGGTAAATGTGAAATTTTAAGAATTAGGGGCTAGTGCACCTTCTGCAGGTGGCTAAGTGTTCAATGAGAAGCCAGGATTATTAGATGCCTAATTAACTAGACAGGGCAGATGAAGACCCCATTCATAATAGTCATAATTTCTTCTTCTGGTTTCAGACAATGTCCTATGTCCCTTTCTGTATAGGGCTGTATACTGAAAGGGAAACAATCCCTTCACATAATTTCTCAGTGAAAGAAGCCATTATTTTCCTAAAGTGGGAAAAGTGTCTACTAAAGACAGAAACAAAACAAGATGGAATTCCCCTGGATATAAAAGCTCATGTAGGCCGGGCGTGGTGGCTCATCCCTATAATCCCAGCACTTTGGGAGACCTAGGCAGGTGCATTACCTGAGGTCAGGAGTTCAAGACCAGCCTGGCCAACATGACAAAACCCTGTCTCTACTAAAAGTATAAAAATTAGCTGGGTGGGGTGGCAAGCGCCTGTAATCCCAGCACTGGGAAGGCTGAGGCACGAGAATCACTTGAACCTGGGAGGCGGAGGTTGCAGCGAGCCGAGATGGTGCCACTGCACTCCAGCCTGGGTGACAAAGCGAGACTGTCTCAAAAACAAACAAACAAAGCTCATGTAGCAAAAGGACAAATATTGTATAAGGTACTTAGAATAGGCACATTCAGGGACAGAAAGTAGAATGGTGGTTGCCATGGATTGTGGAAGAGGAGAATCCAGAGTTATATTTAGTGGGTACAAAGTTTCAGTTTCAGATGATGAAAAAGTTCTGGAGATGGACAATAATAATGGTTGCACAACAGTGAGAATGAGCTTAATGCCACTGAATAGTATGCTTAAAAATGTTTAAAATCGGACCGGGCACGGTGGCTCACGCATGTAATTCCAGCACTTTGGGAGGCTGAGGTGGGCAGATCATGAGGTCAGGAGATTGAGACCATCCTGGCTAACACGGTGAAATCCCGTCTCTACTAAAAATACAAAAAATTAGCCGGGCGTGGTGGTGGGCACCTGTAGTCCCAGCTACTTGGGAGGCTGAGGCAGGAGAATGGCCTGAACCCAGGAGGCAGAGCTTGCAGTGAGAGGAGATCGTGCCACTGCACTCCAGCCTGGGCGACAGAGCAAGACTCTGTCTCAAAAAAAAAAAAAAGTTTAAAATCGTAAATTTTATATATATCTTAAAATAGTAAAAGTAATTTTAAAATTCCTCATAATGGTTTGTTCTGACTTTAAGGTGCTTTCCTCCTTCTAAGTTCAAGGAGAAATATCCTGAATGAATGGCAAAACTCACTGCCTAACTCAACGACAGATCTAGATCTGCCCAAGGCTCATTGTTATCAGACTTACCTAACTAAATCACATCGGAAATACTAGACCACTCCGCAGGATATACAATACGAGGCAACTTTTAATGAGGTTTAGTAACTATTCATGTACTTTGATTAAAGTAATGTTCCTTTGATGTAATAATAAAGTTGTCCTCCCTCTCATCCTAAACCCAGGTGATATAAGGAGATGAAGATGTCCGTGAGTGACCGGGTTAAAAGGCTCTGCTGTGAAATTGAGTTGTGAAATTTTAGATTTTCCACACTTCTTAAAACGTTGGGAAATACTTTTACAACTAGAATGTAAATAGGATGAGAAGTCAGAATGTCAGATCTAATCATTTTATCTTGGTTTGGGGAAATGAGTAAGTGGTTACATGCCATCAATGTGTAAGTCAAAGGAGAATCAGGTTTTCTTTTTTTTTTTTTCCCATTAAAATACATGGCACATTCACAGTGAAGAACTCTTGCACATGTGTGCCAAGACACATGGAAAAAAAGTCTTCAAAGCAGCATTCTTTGTAATAGCAAAACATGGGAACCAACCCAAATGCCTGTCAACAAGAATGGTGAAATAAATCATGGAATATTTGCCAAGAAATATTACATACCTACATGCAACAACGTGGGTAATTCTTTTTTTTTTTTTTTTTTTTTTTGATATGGAGTCTCGCTCTGTCGCCCAGGCTGGAGTGCAGTGGCGCGATCTCGGCTCACTGCAAGCCCCGCCTCCCGGGTTCACGCCATTCTCCTGCCTCGGCCTCCCGAGTAGCTGGCACTATAGGTGCCCGCCACCACGCCCGGCTAATTTTTTGTATTTTTTAGTAGAGATGGGGTTTCACCACGTTAGCCAGGATGGTCTCGATCTCCTGACCTCGTGATGCGCCCGCCTCGGCCTCCCAAAATGTTGGGATTACAGGCGTGAGCCACCACGCCCAGCCCAATGTGGGTAATTCTTAATGACCTAATGTTGAATTTTAAGAATGCAAGATTAGGCTGGGTGCGGTGGCTCAGGCCTGTAATCCCAGTACTTTGGGAGGCCGAGAACGGCAGATTACCTGAGGTCAGGAGTTTGAGACCAGCCTGGGCAACATGGTGAAACCCCTTCTCTACTAAAAATGCAAAAATTAGCCAGGCATGGTGGCCCGCGTCTGTAATCCCAGCTACTCAGGAGGCTGAGGCGGGAGCATCTCTTGAACCTGAGAGGCGGAGGTTGTAGTGAGCTGAGACTGTGCCACTCCATTCCAGCCTGGGCGACAGAGAGAGACTCCATCTCAAAAGAGAATGCGAGATTATAAATACCTTTTTTCATAAACCAAAAAAACAAACCTAAACACTATTGTTTTGGAATACATACACATGTGATAAAACTGTTTTACAATAAACCAGGGAATGATTAACACAAAATTCAGGGTTGGGAGGGACATGAGAGCAGGCACAGAGGAAAAACACAAAGATGCAACTGGATACTAACAATCTAGTACTTTTTCCCCTAGTTTTCTGTTTATTTTCTTTAACAATTTTATTGAGATGTAATTCACATACCACACAATTCACCCATTAAAGGTGTACAACTCAATGGTTTTTAGTATATTCACAGATACGTGCGACTATCACTATAGTCGATTAGAGGATATTTTCATGTTTCACCTCAAAAAGAAACCCTGTGACCTTTATCTATCACTTCCCTACTCAACCCACCTCCAGCCCCTTCAGCCCTAAGCAACAAAAAATCTACTTTCTAGCTGTATACATTTCCTTGGTCTGGACATTTTCAAATGAATAGATCATACAGTACGTGATATTTTGACTGGCTTCTTTCACTTAGCATAATGTTTTCAAGATTCATCGATGTTGTAGCATGTATCAGTACTCCACTCTTTTTTATGGCCAAATAATATCTCGCTGTATGGATATACCACCTTTTATTTATCCACTCATCAACTGATAGTCATTTGGTTTGTTTCCACCTCTTGGTTATTATAAATGGTGTTGCTGTCAACATCTGTGTACAGGTTTTTTTGTGAGCATATGTTTTAATTTCTCTTGGACATATATTTACAATGGAATTGCTAGGTCATATGGTAACTTTATGTTTAATTTGAAGAACTGCCAAACTTTTCCAAAGTGAGGGCACCATCTTATATTCCCATCGGTGGTGTACAAAGGTTCCAATTCCTCCACATCCTCACCAGTATTTGTTATTATCTGACTTTTTGATTATAGCCATGCTAGTGAGTATAAAGTGGTATCCCATCGTGGTTTTGATTTGCATTTCTCTGATGAATAATGATGTTGAGTATCTTTTCATGGGTTTATTGGCCATTTGTATATCTTCTTTGGAGATAGCTATTCAGATCCTTTGCCCATTTTTAAATTGGATTATTTTTCTTTTTATTATTGAGTTGTAAGAACTCTTTATATGTTGTGGATACAAGACCCTTATCAGATACATGATTCCTAAATATTTCCTCCCATTCTATGAGCTATCTTTTCACAACTATCTAGTTCTTAAGCCCTAGTTTATAAACCTAGTGATGGGTTCACAGGTGTTCAGTTGAACATAATGTTCATAACTCACCTAGACTTAGCGTATTATTTTTACATATAAAATGTTACATAATAAATTAAAAACAAAACAAAACCTCATGAATAAAGATGTTAGGAAATATTCAAAACAAAACAAAACTCCATAATGCTCAAAATAAGTTAATGCTTTTCTGGAGGGTATTTAACTTAACTGCCAAGGTATAACAGGCACTCAAGAGAATGTGGCCCATTAATCCTTTCAATAGGCTCCTCTCCAGATTCTAGCACAGAATCAATCAGTGGGAGTAGCAAACTACTACTAGAAGGACAAATCCATTCCCTTCTCTCTTACTTTTGTGTTTTCTGCTCCTCCCTCAAGCTAAGAATAGTTTTTACATTTTTTAATGCCTGGAAAAAAACAGAAGAATATTTTGTTACTGGTGAAAAGTTCAAGGTTCAATGTCTGTAAATAAAGTAAAACACAAACATACCATTCCTTTAGGTATTGTCTTTAGCTGCTTTCAAACTATAACTGTGGAACTGAGTAGTTGCTAAGGAGACCATATGGCCTGCAAAACCTACATGTTTACTATCTAGCTCTTAACTCAAAGGTTTACCAAACCCTACCCTGTATCAACAAATTAAATTACTTCTCACATTAACGATGGGGAACAAAAACTTACTTCCTACTAGCAAAGACCACCTTGATAATCACCTTCCTGATTTCTCATAGTCAACTTCTTTTTCTCTTTATCCTTAAGAAGTATTTATATGACACTTTGATTGTAATGTTATTAAGAATTTTTTAAATTTCGGGATTCATGGAGAAGTCGCCTTTCCTTGCAAAATATGCAGTATATTCAAGAAGTCATGCTCCATCTACACTTAAGGTACTGAATTAACTATTTCACACACTTTTATTGTCTATCCATTACATGCTGTGAGCCAAATACTGTTTGGTGCCGTAGGAACTACCAAACAACCCATCCTTGCTTTCAAGAGGCTTGCAGTCTAATTAGACTCTAGTAACTATAAATCCAATTCTCTAAAGTTCACTCTACCGTTGTAATTTTACACTAAGTGGGCTTAGATAGTTTACCAAGAATTCTAAGGAACATAGCTTCAATGAAATCTACAGAAGCAGTAAGGAAATAGGAGTACTCAGTAAACTACAGTGCTCAAGTCCCAGAAGCTTCTGCATTTCCATAACTATAAAACCAAAGGTCCTAGATGTTTTTACCAAGTGTTCATCTCCACTCTGGCTGTTTGGACCTAGTCCCGGTTCAACTTCCTAAATGCAGTCACCCATACATACTCATTTTTAAGAATGCATCCATTCAAATATTGCTACAACTTGCAGCGAACACCACTCTGATGAGAATAAAGAAAAGGCCATCTGCAGGTTGATTTTTGGCCCTAAAAGTGATGATACGGCGGCTACTTCCACGAACACCCCTCTACCCAAAGCAGTCAGAGAGCCAGCGGCGGGTGCCGTTTTTCCGAGCCGTTCCCCCAGTCTCAGTTGCCTCTGCATTTTTTAGAAGTGACTCATCGCCTCAAGTCAGGTTCTGCAGAGGGGAAGCCAGGTCTGTTTCTTTCCAGCACTTTCTGATCGAGGTGGCTCTGGTCAGAGCCGGCGCAATGACTCCCACCCCCACCCCCCTGGAAGACTCACAGCCCGGTGGACGAGACCCCCCAAAGTTAGAGCGGCCGGGCGGGCGGCGGCGCTGGGGTGGGGAGGCCGCGGCCGCCCGCCAACCCCGGGCAGCTCCTGCCCGCACCCCGCCTTCCGAGCGGCCAGGACGCCGGAGCTGGGGAGGCGGGGGCAGGGCGCGCCGCTCCGCTGACCCAGATGGGAGTCCGCCCGCGCCCGCGCCCCGCGCCCGGGTCGCCGCGCCCCGGCCCCCGCGCCCGCGCCGCCTTTATTCCCCTCGCGCTGCTGCCACAGCCGCAGCGTCCCGGCCGCTTCCCTACCCCACCCATCGGGCTCAACTTGCCAGCGCCCGCCGCCAGGCGCCCCCCGCACCTGCACCCCGACCCCTCCCCGCCTCGCCGGGCCCCGACCGCTGCAGGATTACCTGCTTCGCTGCCCTGGGGTCCCGTCCTCGGCAATGCAAATCCGTGGTCGGCCACTCGTACCCTCCTCCCGCGGCCCTCCCCTTCTCCTCCCCTCTCCCTCCTCCCAGCTGAATAGGAGCCGGTGTCAGTCACGCTGCTCCAGGGGAGAGTCGCCGGCAGCTTCCGGAGCTCCAAATACAGACGAGCTGAGGGGGGAGAGGGAGAGCAAAGCCACGCGGGTGGGGAGTGGAAATAAAGGGGAGCAGAGAGGAGAAGGGGGTGGAGGAAAGGAGGGGCAGATGGGCCGTGGGAGAAAAGACAGGGAGATGGGGAAGGCAGAGCCAGGGAACGCCAGCCTGCCTGCCAAGCGCCAGGCTATGCGAGAAATGGATTCAGTGCATGAGGCAGTATTGCAAAGAAGTCTGGAAAGATCCGGAGGCTCCTGGCTGAAGGAGGCACAGATAGGTTGGATACCCGAAGATCTGTGCAGAGAAATGGGTAATGGATCCTTAGGAATCAAGAGACGGCATGTGTGTCCCCAGACCCAATATGAGGATAAAGGCTCTGGGAGGAGAAGGAGCTAGACAGCTAATGCTTTAGCGAGACATCAAGACTGAGTGCACTCATAGTGCGTGTGATGACATTTTTAAAAAGTATTTTATAAACAGCAACTTTTTAAATGTCCTGATTATTTAAAAATTAAAGTAACCAAACCCACTTGGCTTCTTAAGATGTGCAGCATATTTGTGGCCACTTCCCCTTTATATATTGATTATAATTGCAAAATTGGAGGCTTTTCTCTTAACGTCATTAGAAGGAAAGCATTGATTTTCAATTTTCATCAAAGTTTATTTCAGTCTAAAAAAGTGACTTGAAGCTCTTTATTGAATGAATGCCAGGAAAATAATTGCAGAAAAGAGAAAAAAAGAGGGGAAATGTAACTGATATCTTCTGAAAGTAAAATCTCCAAACAATAAATATGAGATGAATTTCTTAAAGGCCAATATTCTCTGTCGATGTTAAAATTGCACATAAGTTGGTTCTGTACATTATAAGGCTTATTCTGACCCCATAGGTCAGCACTTATACAAAGGTCATTCCAATTACACATTGCTCTCTGCTGACAGTAATGAGGTGCAGTGAGTCTTTGCTTCCCTTTGTCTGGAAAGAAGGGAAACAAAATGACATAAACATTGATCAATGAGTGCGTACATTGCATAAAGCCAGAGCCAGCACCCTCCCTATCCTGTGGATACCTTGCATATGGCGGGCATTCAATATGTTTGTATTAAATAATGAATGAATGGATGGATGGATGAAGTATGTATGCATTTAGAACATTTGTGTTCCAGAAATGCAGAAAAAATATATATCCATAAGAATCAATGTGTGCAGGATCACAGGGAAGTTCCAAGCATCCATTCATATGACTTTTTTTTAGCACTAACTTCAACAAACATTAGCACAGTATTTCCTTAGCTACATCTGTTTTTTATTGGAGTATAAAGTATTATGGAGTCTAAGAGTGGATGAGCCACAAATCCTGTCTTTAGGTTGATAATATAGTAGGAAGATGTGAAGAGTATAAAAATAACCACAGTTCTAGGAATGTCGTAAAAAACATTCTAAAAGAAGTATGAACAAATTTCCATGGATGTTCAGAAGAAAGGAAGGTTGCTTCTAGACTGGGGATTAGAGAACACTTTCTGATGGACATGAAAGTTGAGTCTTCATGCGGAAATGAGACATTAAGAGTGGATTGTGGAGGAAAAACCCTCAAGATGATGGGCAGGGACAAAAGTGGAGAGGTAATAAAGGATGGCATGTATGAAGGACAGTCTGTGAGTTTAGCTGGATTGGAGGGCTGTGGAAGCCAGGTATGGAAGGAAGGTTAGGCCCTGGCTGGTAGAGGCCTTCAATCTCAGCCTAAAATGTTTGAAGCCTAAGTAGTAGGCACTGGGGGACTATTGACCATTTTTGAGCATAATCATGATAGCAATGGTTAGTTTGGTGGTGGTATATAGGACTGGAAAGAGATAGGAGGCAGGGAAATCCACTAAGAAATAACTAGCTAGTCTGGAGGGGAAAGTAACGAGCCTCAACTTGAAGCCTGAACTCTTCCCTTAACTAGCCCTGTCATAGCATCTGTCTGCTATATGATGTCTCCCCAAAAGGGCTAGCCCCCAGTGAACACTTCTTCCTCACAACTCTTTGATACTTATTGTCCATATTTTCCAATTGGACCTATACATTCCAGGAAAATGGGGATTAGGTCTGTTTGGTTAATTGCTATTTTCTCAGGCCAGACACATGAAGATCACTGACTACGTATTTGTTGATAACATTTTCTTGTACAGGATTAGGTCAGAAAATAGTGGAATTGGAAAGAAGAGGACAGTAGCTGGGCTTTTCTAAATCTTTTCAGTTCCCCTTGAGATTCCAGCCCAAACCTGCCTTTCTCCTTAGCCCATGATCTCATGATGTGCCAGACAAGGAGGCTGATAACTGTGTTAACTTCTACTCCTTCAACTTTTCTCCCCTCTACCTCAAAATTTCTCCCGTCATCTCCTTTGTCCTGCATATTTCTTTTGAGTTGATGTCTCCTTCCTTGTCATTGCTAAAAGTATTCTGGTCTCTTCTTCCACCTTGTGCCCTTGTCCTTGCATTCTGAGCCACCTCCTCTGTACTGAGTTTGTCCCCATGGATTACACTCCAATTGCAACAGCGAAGGCTGAACTCAAGGGCTGATAACACAGTAGACTCAGGGGAAAAATCCTTTTTTCCCTATTTAACCTATGGTTAGAATGATTCTACTGCTCTTTTACCTTTGTTTATATGAAATAAAACTTTTTATGAACTCTTTTATGTAAGGGGCTTTGCTAGAATCTCAACAGAGGAGGTGACCCAGGACCTCAACATTCTATAAAGCTTATACAGTACAGTAGTCCCCCCGTATCCACGAAGGATACGTTCAAAGACCCCCAATGGATTCCTGAAACCACAGATTCGTATTGAGGCTTCTATACAGTATTTTTTTTCCTATACATATGTACCTATTATGTTTAATTTATAAATTAAGTACAGTAAGAGATCAGTGATAACAATTAATAATAAAATAGAACAATTATAACAATATACTGTTGTAAAAGTTATGTAAATGTAGTCCTTCTCCCTCTCTTAAAATATCTCATTGTAGTATACTTGCCCTTCTTCTTCTTGTGGTGATGTGAGATGATAAAATGCCTGTGGGATTTAATGAGCTGAGGTGAATGACGTAGGCATTGTGATGGCGTGTCAGGCTACTATTCATCTTCTGATGATTATGTCAGAAGACAAGTCACCTGCTTTGAGTGATTTTATCAGTTTGTTCTTGCATTGCTATAAACAAATGCCCAAGACTGGGTAATTTATAAAGAAATGATGTTTAATTGTCTCATGGTTCTACAGGCTGTACAGGAAGCATAGCGGCTTCTGCTTCCAGTGAGGCCTCAGGGAGCTTTCAATCATGGTGGAAGGCAAAGGGAGAGTGAGGCATCTTAAGTGGCAGGAGCAAGGGGAGGAGGGAGGGGCCACACACTTTTAAACAACCAGATCTCACGAAAACTCACTATCGCAGGACAGCACCAAGGGAGGATGGTGCCAAACCATGTGAAACTGCCCTCATGCTCCAATTACCTCCCACCAAACCCCACCTCCAGCACTGGGGATAACAATTCAACATGAGATTTGGGTAGGGACACAGATCCAAACCATATCAGTGACACTGGATCATGGAGTCATTACCATGGCTATGGTTGGACGCAGGAGCCGATGATGTCAACACGCAGATAGCTTGGACTGCAGGGGTATCCAATCTTTTGGTTTCCCTGGGCCACAGTGGAAGAAGGAGAATTGTCTTGGGCCACACATAAAATACTAATGATAGCTGATGAGCTAAAAAAAAATTATATATATATATATAAGTGTCATAATACTTTAAGAAAGTTTACGAATTTGTGTTGGGCCACATTCAAAGGCATCCTAGGCTATGTGTGGCTCACAGGCCCCAAGCTGGACAAGCTTGTTAGACAGCATAAATATACTGGGCAAAGGGATGATTCACAAATGGACAGGATGGAACAGGATGGCTTGAGATTTCATCACCCTACTCAGAATGGAGCACAGTTTGAAATTTAAAATTGTGTATTTATGGAATGTTCCATATAATATCTTCAGGCTACAGATGACCATGGATAACTGAACCAAACTAAACAAAACCACAGGCTGCTGTATCAGATGGCATCCCGGCTTCTATGGTCTCTTCTCCAGATCTTCTCCTGAGGGCCTGTTTGACCTGAGACACAAACAGCCTCATTCATCAGAATCATCTGGGTAGATCATGTTTGGTAGGTTTAGCCTTTTGGAAATATCTTCTTTTTTAAAAGACCATTTATGATGGCCGTACCTTAACTCAGATTCCAGGTATTGAAGTCGGGGTGGGTTAGAAGAAGGTATTTGAGAAGAGGAAGGAGGTGCCTGACACCACTCAAACCACTGTGTGTGTCTCTAATAATCTACCTTGTGGATAAAATTGTCCCCACATAAAATTTATGTAACTAAAAATAGATAAGACCACTGATCTTAACTAACATAATCATCTTTTTTAAATGTCACTGACTTTTTTTTTTTTTTTTTTTTTGAGACAGAGTCTCGCTCTGTCGCCCAGGCTGGAGTGCAGTGGCGGGATCTCGGCTCACTGCAAGCTCCGCCTCCCGGGTTCACACCATTCTCCTGCCTCAGCCTCCCAAGTAGCTGGGACTACAGGCGCCCGCCACTACGCCCGGCTAATTTTTTGTATTTTTAGTAGAGACGGGGTTTCACCGTTTTAGCCGGGATGGTCTCGATCTCCTGACCTCGTGATCCGCCCGCCTCGGCCTCCCAAAGTGCTGGGATTACAGGCGTGAGCCACCGCGCCCGGCAATGTCACTGACTTTTAGAACTGTACCTGAATGCTTCAGTCCACTTGCATCTCTTCCTTCCTTAAATACCTTTGAAATTTACAGTTTATTCATTAAATTAGAAAGAAAGTACTATCCTAAACTTCTTCTGTTTTCTGTTTTTTAAGTGTCCCCTATCAACCCATAAGTGCCTAAAAGCAAGGCCATAGATATCTCAAATGTCTTTTATGTTATTTCACAATCCTAAGGAAAGGGCTGCTACCAGCCCATGTGGTGTCTCTTCCTCTTGTCACCTGTTAGCAAATATCCTCCATTCATCCGTAAGCCACCCGCACAGCTATACATAGTGTTCCTGAACAAGGACAGTTCATGATATGCAATCAGTGGTGAGTCTATAGTTTTATTAGTTTGCTTAATGAAACAAATCCAGATGTAAAGTCGGGACTTATAGAGAAATAGGCAAGTTTATCTTTTTGTTTTGTTTTGTTTTGAGACAGTCTCACTCTGTCGCCCAGGCTGGAGTGCAGTGGCACGATCTCAGCTCACTGCAAGCTCTGCCTCCTGGGTTTATGCCATTCTCCTGCCTCAGCCTCCCGAGTAGCTGGAACTACAGGCACCCGCCACCATGCCCTGCTAATTTTTTGTATTTTTAGTAGAGACAGGGTTTCACCGTGTTCGCCAGGACGGTCTCGATCTCCTGACTTCATGATCTGCCCGCCTTGGCCTCCCAAAGTGCTGGGATTACAGACGTGAACTACCGTGCCCAGCCGGCAAGTTTATCTTAAACAATGTAGGAAATAAAACGATTGCCAAAAGCATTTAACATGTTTTTATAAAAATTCCAATTATTGAGAAGAAATATGGTAATGGTTTTGATAGCAAAATTAATAAGAGAAAGGCCAGACATCAAAATTTAGAGACAGTCTGAGGAAGAGAAATTATTCGAGAGAATGTAAGAGACCTGTAGGCCAATTTGAATCCAGAAAAAGCTACCAATATGATATTTAACACTTGTACTCTGAGTATAAAGAAGGCTTCAGAGGGTGAAATTGCCTAAGGCCAATGGTTAGGTTTTATTAGTAAGAAAGCAAGTTTATTTATTTTCCATTTTAATATAGAATCTTAAAAGTAATGAAAATATAGAACAGATAAAAATATCACATCATCCTAACAGCATGTATTTGTGTATTCTTTCATTTCTCTTCATATCTCTTCTATGTGGTATATTTTGTAGTTGTAAGTTAAAAGAGAAGCCATAATCTATAGTTGAAATCAAGAATTAGATTTCAGGCCGGGCGTGGTGGCTCATGCCTGTAATCCCAGCACTTTGGGAGGCCGAGGCGGGTGGATCACCTGAGGCCAGGAGTTCGAGACCAGCCTGGCCAACATGGCTAAACCCTGTCTCTACTAAAAATACAAAAATTAGCTAGGCGTGGTGGCAGGTGCCTGTAATCACAGCTACTTGGGAGGCTGAGGCAGGAGAATTCCATGATCCCAGGAGGCAGAGGTTGCAGTGAGCAGATATCATGCCATTGCACTCTGGCCTGGGCCTGGGCTACAGAGCAAGACTCCGTTAAAAAAAAAAAAAAAAGCATTAGATTTCAGTTTTAAAGATAAAATTGTGAGTATTGAGTAGAATCCTGCCCCTCTCATTTAATCATGGCAGAAGTAAGTTTTTACACTATTGCTAGAAATGGGGCATCAGGCAAGGGCAAAGAAAGAAAACTGAGAGGTGTGGAGAAGTCTACCCAGAACTTAGCCGAAATTAACAACCCCCTCTGAAGTGAAACAAATGCCCAAATATCACACACCTGGCACATAGACGGCTCTCAATAAATATCACTTGAAGTAAATATTGTGACACATAACACTTAGGACAAAATAGGGAAAATATGCATTGCCTAGAAGAAACTTTGATTGTCCAAAAGCAATCTTAAACAATAAATGAAAGCCAGTGGTGTATTATGAATTTAATATTGTATATACTGTGCATATTATATACCTAGCAGCATTAAATACAGAATATTTATAATGTTTAATATATACAAAATAAAGAGTGGATTAACCTGTAAATTCCATGGAATCTCTAAGACAGCCAGTGGAAAATTCCAAAACAGTAACTCTCCCTCCAGTCAGGGAGATTCCTAGTCAGGGTACATACAAACGTTTTACAAAGACCAACTCTAGATATCCAAGTTTCTGCCTGTTTTAGTTCCATCATCATTGTTTTGTTAATGACCAAAACAAGAGGGATTAACTTTGAATAATTGTCCTGGCCAGACCTCACGCTTGGAAAACAATATTCTATTGAGTGTTATGGGTTCCTCAGTTTTTGGCAACAATGCAATCTGGATGAAATATTTTTTGCAATGATCCTTAAAAATAACAATAAGGCTGGCTGGGCGCGGTGGCTCACACCTGTAATCCCAGCACTTTGGGAGGCCGAGGCAGGCAGATCACGAGGTCAGGCGGTCGAGACCATCCTGGCCAACATGGTGAAACCCTGTCTCTACTAAAAATACAAAAAATTAGCCGGGCATGGTGGCGGGCACCTGTAGTCCCAGCTACTCGGGAGGCTGAGGCAGGAGAATGGCGTGAACCCAGGAGGCGGAGGTTGCAGTGAGCCGAGATCGTGCCACTGCACTCCAGCCTGGGTGACAGAGTGAGACTCCGTCTCAAAAAAACAAAAAAACAACAAAAGAAAAATAAGGCTGATTTTTTAAAACCTGAGGCTTCTTTCTGATACCTCAAGTGTTTTGTTGATCTGATCCAGTTGTTTCTCATTGAACGTACAAGATAACATCACGAGTTATTTAGATGCTGAGTCTACAGGAAAGGAAGCTCTAGGAGCCCCCTTACCAATTCTGGACAGAACAACGAACATTCTCCTCCTTCTCTCCCCCACACTTCCCATCCAGGATTATCTCTATCATCATGTGACTAAAGGAGAAAATAGCTCCCCAGCTGTCAGTGGCTTTCTCAGCTGCCGACATGAGAACTTGATCACACCGGGGAAATTCCTGAACTAAGGAAATGTATCAGCATGCACACTTTGATTACACCATGTCGGCTTTGGGGTAGTCATCTCATCAGTGCTCGCACAAGAATATCTGAGTCTACAATAAAGACTCAGCTTATGGAATCTCAAAAGGTTGAACTGGGAAGCAGAGAGTAGAATGGTGGTTGCCAGGGGCTAGGGTGGGGCATGGAGAGATGTTGGTCAAAGGGTACAAAGTTTCAGTTAGAGAGGAGGAGCAAGTCCTGGAGATCTATTGTGTAGCATGGTGACCACAGTTAATAATAATGTATTATGTACTTGCAAATTGCTGAGAGGCTGGATCTTCAATGTCTCCACAACAAAAAGTAAGTATGTGAGGTATGGGTATGTTCACCAGCTTGATGTAACCATTTCACAGTGTATACGTATATAGAAACATCACATTGTACACCTTGGGTAAATACACAGACAGTCCTGACTTAGGATGTTTGACTTCACCATGGGTTTATCTGGGGTATTAAGTGCATTTTCCATTCACAATATTTTCAACTTACCATGGGTTTATTGGGACATAGCCCTACTGTAAGTCAAGGAGCATCTGTATACAATTTTTATTTGTCAACTATATCTTAATTAGCTTCTGCCATCCTGCCCTCCCTCCTTCCCCCATCCCTCCCTCCCTTCCCTCCTTCCTTCCTTCCTTGCTTCTTTCCTTCCTTCCCTTCCTTTCTTCTCTCATTCCCTCCCTCCCTCTTTCCTCCCTTCCTTTCTCTTAAAATTTATTAAAGCCTTTAAATTTTTATTTTATTTTATTTTTGAGATGAGGTCTCACTCTGTCACCCAGGCTGGAGTGCAGTGGTGCAATTTTTGCTCACTGCAGCTTCTACCTCCTAGGCTCAAGCAATCCTCCTTCCTCAGCCTCCTGAGTAACTGGGACTACAAGTGTGTGCCATCACTCCCAGCTAAATTTTGTATTTTTTGTGGAGATGGAGTTTTGCCATGTTGGCCAGGCTAGTCTCAAACTGCTGGGCTCAAGTGATCCACCTGTCTTGGCTTCTCAAAGTGCTGGGATTACAAGCATGAGCCACCACACCTGGCCTTCCTTCCTTCCTTCCTTCTCTTCCTCCCTTTCTTCCTTTTCTTTTTTTTTTTTTAAATGGGGTTTCATGCTGTAACCCAGGGTAGAGGGCAGTGGTGGGATCATACCTCACAGTAGCCTCGAACTCCTGGGCCCAAGCAATCCTCTTACTTCAGCCTCCCAAGTAGCTAGGACTACTGGCATGCACTATGCTAATTTTTTAATTTTTGTAGTGATGAGGTCTCACTCTTTTGCCCAGGCTGGTCTCAAACTCCTGGCCTCAAGTGATCCTGCTGCCTCAACCTTCCAAAGTGTTGGAATTACAGGCATGAGCCACCATGCCCAGCCACTTCTGTTCTTTTGAATAAGATTTCATATGGTACTAGAAGCAGCTGGGTTTTCTATGCTTTAGAGACAGCATATGTTCACTCATAGCATTTCAGAAGTTCTATGGGCCCCATCAAATCTGTTAATAGTGAGTGGAACGGTGGTGTGAAGAAGGGAGCTGGGGGCCTCCTTGGTGTTGGCTCTTTCCCCAGGCTTCTACTTTCCAGGGATTCATAAGAGCTGGACACTTGGCAAACTGGAGGCGCAGTGACTGAGACAAAAGAGGTGAGGATTCCCATGGGGGCCCCACAGCAATGTGCACATGCAGGCAGGCCCAGGAGCAGGCAGCAGGAAAGGCAGAATGCACTATGCGGCCAGTGAGGACAGACAGAACCAAGACAGCCCACGGTGCCAGGATGGCGAGCATGGCTGGCTGGGCTGCGGGCATCACTGGCCCATGGAACCAGGGCCTGGCTGGAACAAAATCTTTCAAGTCGACTTTCCATGACCACGTGGCAGGTCTCGCTGAAAGTAATCTTGAATTGAAATTGAAAGAGTCTGGTGAGGCTACCTTTTTAATTTCACGTTTTAAGAATAATAAAAACATTAATGGGTGAAATTCTGCATTTTTGAAACTTCAGTAGCCACCTAACTACAATTCTGTGGATTTCTCCTAGTAGTGACGAAACAAATTCAATGGCACCTCTGCAAAATGCCTGGGAAGAGGGGCAGTATCTGGGAAGAGATAATTCTATGGCACAGAATGGAATAAAGTTGGTATTTCCGGTTTCTGACCTAATGAAGAAGAAAAATTCCAGGGTCTTGAATCTAAGTTGATTCTAAAAAAAAAAAAGAGTGATGGGCAGGGCACGGTGGCTCACGCCTGTAATCCCAGCACTTTGGGAGGCTGAGGCGGGCAGATCAAGAGGTCAGGAGCTCGAGACTATCCTGGCCAACACAGTGAAACCCCGTTTCTACTAAAAATACAAAAATTAGCTGGGTGTGGTGGCGTGCCTGTAGTCCCAGCCACTCAGGAGGCTGAGGCAGGAGAATCACTTGAACCTGGGAGGCGGAGGTTTTAGTGAGCCAAGATCACGCAACTGCACTCCAGCCTGGTGACAGAGCTAGACTCTGTCTCAAAAAAAAAAAAAAAGTGATTAATTTCTTACTTCTCACATATGCAGCAGTGAAAATTCATTCTTTATGCAACAAAACTCATCTTCAGCCAAATCTTGAATAATTTACTACAACTTTATAAAAAGCGTCAAAGAAATCTGTAAAGTAAGACCTATCTGCTCCACATTTTTAAAAAAGCAATTGGCTGGGCGAGTTGGCTCATCCCTATAATCCCAGCACTTTGGGAGGCCAAGAGGGAGGATTGCTTGGACCCAGGAGTTCAAGACTGGCCTGGGCAACAGAGGGAGATTCTGTCCCCACAGAAAATTAAAAAAAAAAAATAGCAAGGTGCAATGGCACAGTGTCTGTCGCCCCGGCTACTCAGGAGGCTGAGGTGGGAGGATCACTTATGCTCTATAGGTTGAGGCTACAGTGAGCTATGATCGCACCACTGCACTCCAACCTGGGTGGCAGAGAGAGACTCTGTATCTAAAAATAAAGAAAGAAAGAAAGAGAGAGAGAGACGGAAAGAAAGAAAGAAAAGAAAAGAAAAGAAAAGAAAAGAAAAGAAAAGAAAAGAAAAGAAAAGAAAAGAAAAGAAAAGAAAAAAGAAAAGAAAAGAAAAGAAAGCAAGCAGGCTGGGCGAGGTGGCTCATGCCTGTAATCCTAGCACTTTGGGAGGCCAAGGCGGGCGGATCACTTGAGGTCCAGAGTTTGAAACCAGCCTGGCCAACATGGTGAAAACCCATCTCTACTAAAAATATTTTTAAAAATTAGCTGGGTGTGGTGGCATATGCCTGTAATCCCAGCTACTTGGGAGACTGAGGCTGGAGAATCGCTTGAACCTGGGAGACAGAGGTTACAGTGAGCTAAGAACGCACCATTGCACTCCAGCCTGGGCAACAAGAGCAAAATTCCACCTCAATAAATAATAAATAAATAAATAAACGAATAAAGGAACTATGGAAAAGTCTAAGTAACTGGACGGGACCATTCAAACATTTTGAAGGTTGATACACTTTCTAAAACCATGAGTATATATTTGAACTTTTTGTGTTGTTTGTATTATGTACATTTATTTTGAAGATGATTCTATTATGAATGAAGATCTTTTAGGGTCATAAAAACTCATATTTTGAAATACAATAACTGCATTTTCCTTTATTCTAACATATAATTCAGAAGAGACTTCAGTGTCTGATATTTCCTGCGTTCAGGTATTTTGCATGAAGTCTGATGTGGTCGTTAATGAAGATTGCAAAGAAAAGTAACTAATTATAAGCCTCTTGAAATCTAAAAACAGTTGGTGTAAGGAAGTAGCTATCTTGCTGAAATGTTTCATCATCATTTCCTTGATTACGTCTAACCAGAACCTGAATAGAACTTTCTAAGAATGGCAGCATCATAAGCCTTTTATTTTTGTGATCTGATTTCAAATATCCATTGAGAGATTTTTGCCCCATCCCCACCTCCACCCTCCAAAAAGAGAGAACTGGTTGCAAATTGGAGCAAATGCTGCCATAGATTTGCACTTTCCAGGATTCTTCACAACATGAGTAAGAGCTCCATGGCCTCCCACGGAGTGGCCCAAAATAGACAATTTCCCGTGGTCCACTGGAAAGTTGGCATTTATCGGTGGAGGAACCTTAGCCATTATGTAAGAGTACATTCTGTAGTTTTTCAACTCTCCACATACAATCTAGCCCTAGTGCCTGAAGTCCCAGATGTCTTTCCCTGGTTTCTGGAGCAGTGATGAACAGTCTGCATTCTGGAGCGGGGCTTGATCTTGGCTGACTCATGGTAGCATTTGCTTTGTGTATTTTAAGACAGGCAGTCAGTGCAGTTCAATCACTCTTCAGTTCTTGGCTTTGGAAGTAAGCAGACAGCAAATTTCATTTCTCACGTTGGTTCAAATTTATCATGTTCAAACATGGTCAGCAAACCAAGAGCAGCAGGGGCCAAGATAACTTTCTTTTTTCTTCTTCTTCTTTTTTTGAGACGGAGTCTTGCTCTGTCACCCAAGCTGGAGTGCAGAGGTGCAATCTCGGCTCACTGCAACTTCCGCCTCCCGGGTTCAAGTGATTCTCCTGCCTCAGCCTCCCACGTAGCTGGGATTACAAGAGTGAGCCACCACACCTGGCTAATTTTTGTATTTTTAGTAGAGATGGGGTTTCGCCATGTTGGCCAGGCTGGTCTGGAACTCCTGACCTCAGGTGATCCACCCGCCTCGGCCTCCCAAAGTGCTGGGATTACAGGCGTGAGCTACCGCGCCCAGCCACCAAAAGAACTTTCGTGATGATGGAGGGGTTTATGTCCAAGTTGGTGGAGGAGTTCAGGTGTGCTTTTCCCTCTGTCCCCCCACTTTGTCCCTCATAGAAGAAGTCTCCTCTACATCTTTGTGAGGACACAAAAAACTAAAATAGCAGGGCCAGGTGTGTGGCTCACGCCTGTAATCCAGGCACTTTGGGAGGCTGAGGTGGATGGATCGCTTGATGTTAGAAGTTTGAGATCAACCTGGGAGACATGGTGAGACCCTGTCTCTACAAAAAATACAAAAATTAGCTGAGTGTGGTAGCATACACCTGTAATCCCAGCTACTTGGGAGGCTGAGGGAGGAGGATTGCTTGCGCCTGGGAGGTTGAGGCTGTAGTGAGCTATGATTGCACCACTGCACTTCAGTCTGTCAACATCGCCAGACCCTGCCCCCAAAAATAAATAAATAAAATAAAATAGCAATTGGACAGGGACAGAACAATGATAAAGAAACTTCTAGCAAGAAGTGCTTTATAGTCGTTCTGTTCAACGTGGCAGCCACTAGACATGTTGCTATTATCATTAAATTTTAAATTAGTTCAATTAATGAATTGAGTAAAATAAAATAAAATATTTAACTCCTCACTAGCCACATTCCAAGTGCTCAACGGACACATGTGGCTAATGGCTTCTGTTTTGGACACTACAGCATTTAGCTGACCAATAGGTTGTAGGAGAAACAGTTGAGAGGAGAAAAGGGTTCTGCCAGTCCATGCATCTCCAGCACTTCTTCCTCATCACCATTATCTCATGCTTCAGAGATTTTAAAAAACACAGGCCTGGTCCAGGCACAGTGGCTCATGCCTATAATCCCAGCACTTTGGGAGACCAAAGCGGGTAGATCACTTGAGCCTAGGAGTTTGAGACTAGCCTGGACAGTATGGAGAAAAACTTTTTCTACAAAAAATATAAAAATTAGCCAGGAGTGGTGGCACACGCCTGTAGTCCCAGCTACCTGGGAGGCGGTGGTGGGAGGAGCCCTTGAGTCTGGGAGGTCAAGGCTGCAGTAAGCCATGTTCATGCCACTGCACTTTAGCCTGGGTGACAGGGCAAGATTCTGTCTCAAACAACAAAAGCAACAAAAAAACCCCACAGTCCTATAGTCTGAAGCCATTAGGAGGGCTTCTTGTTTATTAATTTTATATAAGGAAGTCAAACACTTGGCAGATATTGTTAAGGTTCAGGTTTTATTAAAGCATAATTTTTTTTTTTTTTTGAGACAGAGTCTCACTCTGTCGCCCAGGCTGGAGTGCAGTGGCGCGATCTCGGCTCACTGCAAGCTCCGCCTCCCTGGTTCACGCCATTCTCCTGCCTCAGCCTCACGAGTAGCTGGGACCACAGGTACCCGCCACCACGCCCAGCTAATTTTTTTTATTTTTAGTAGAGATGGGGTTTCACCGTGTTAGATAGGATGGTCTCGATCACCTGACCTCATGATCCGCCCGTCTCGGCCTCCCAAAGTGCTGGGATTACAGGCATGAGTAAAGCATAATTTGATAGCAGGTTTTATTAAAGCACAATTGTCATATAATAACCTGTACATATTTAAATTAGATAATTTAAGTGTTGACATCTGTATGCACCTAGGAAACCATCACCAGCATCACGATAATGAATACATCCATTGTCCCCAAAAGTTTCCTTGAGCCTCTTTGTAATCCTGTTCCCATGCCCTTTGTGGCCCCTCTCCCATCCCCAGGCACCCACTGATGCACTTTCTGTCATTATAGATTAGTTTTCACATTCTCTAATTTTATATATGGGGAACCATACTGTTTGTATTCATATTTTGGCTGATTTCTTTCACTCCACATTATTATTTCGAGATTTATCCATATTGATTATTTTAAGTTGCTGAGTAGTATTCCATTTTATGGCTGTATCTCATATTGTTTATTCATCCACATGTTGATGGCGAATTGTTCCAGTCTGGAGCTACTACAGATAAGGCTGCTATCAACTTTTGTGTACAAGTATTTGCACGTATGCTTTTCTTTCTCTCAAGTAAATACCTAGGAGTGGAATAACTGGGTCATATGGTAGGAGTATTTTGAAACTGTTTTTTTTTTTTTTTCCTTCGAGACAGAATCTCGCTCTGTCACCCAGGCTGGAGTGCAATGGTGTGATCTCGGCTCACTGCAACTTCCACCTCCCAGGTTCAAGTGATCCTCCTGTCTTAGCCTCCTGAGTAGCCGTGATTACAGGTGTGAGACACTGCACCTGGCTGAAACTTTTAAAGAAGCTGCCAAAAAGCTTTCCAAATTGGTTGTACAATTTTGGATTCCCACCAGTCTTGTATGTGAGTTCCAGTTGTTCTGTATCCTCACCCACGCTTGGTATGTTCAAGTGTTCCAATGTCAGGCATTCTAATAGGTGTGTTACGGTATCCCTTTGTGGTGAGGGTTGAATTTTGAAATTAAAATTAAAAGTTTATATTGCTCCCCTTCTAAGGTTTTTTTTTTTTCTTTTGAGACAGAATCTTGTGCTGTTACCTAGGCTGGAGTGCAATAGCACCATCTTGTCTCACTGCAACCTCCACCTCCCAGGTCCAACCAATTCTCCTGCTTCACCCTCCCAAGTGGCTGGAACCACAGGCAAGTGCCACCATACCCGGATAATTTTTGTATCTTTAATAGAGAAGAGGTTTTGCCTTGTTGGCCAAGCTGGTCTGGAACTCCTGACTTCAGGGGATCTGCCCACCTTGGCCTCCCAAAGTGCTGGGATTACAGGCGTGAGCCACCGCGCCCAGACATTTTTTTTATTAAAGTGATCAAAGTGGTGGGTTATGGAGTTTTGAAATAGGTGAAATAAATAACATTGTCTTATCTTATGATGACGTCTGAACTAGGGGAGTTACAAAGAAGAGATGGATAGGAGAGAACTTTTTCTAGAATTGAACACAATGGCCTTTGAATCCTAGATTACCCTGTGGTTATCGGAGTAATCTACTCTACTTATATTTTGCATATGAAGCCCTATTAGAGAATTCATAAAGCATAGAGATGGTTTTATCTATAGGAGGAAATTTTTTTTAAAGTTAACTTGTTTTAAAAATTCAAAATTAACATGCTTTTGACAAAATTTCAATGGCACATAAAGAAGAGTAGAAGGTACAACGTAAAAGTCTTCCATCCCCAGCGACTGCAAATACTTCCCATGGTGACACTGTACACAATCATAATTGTGTGTGTGTGTGTGTGTGTCTGTGTGTGTGTCTTAAGGATGCCTATGCATAAATGAAGCACAAGTAAAGATGCTCCACATCTGCCATTAGGGAAATGTAAATTACAACCACAGTGCGACGTCACCCTTTAGAATGGCTGAAATTAAAAAAAAAAAAAAAAAAAAAAAAAAAAAGCCCGGGCGCGGTGGCTCACGCCTGTAATCCCAGCACTTTGGGAGGCCGAGGCGGGCAGATCACGAGGTCAGGAGATCGAGACCATCCTGGCTAACACGGTGAAAGCCCGTCTCTACTAAAAATACAAAAAATTAGCCGGGCGTGGTTGCGGGCGCCTGTAGTCCCAGCTACTCGGGAGTTTGAGGTAGGAGAATGGCGTGAACCTGGGAGGCGGAGCTTGCAGTGAGCAAAGATGGCGCCACTGCACTCCAGCCTGGGCGACAGAGCGAGATTCCGTCTCAAAAAAATAAATAAATAAATAAATAAAATGAAATAAAAAATAAAAATAAATAAAAAACTGAAAATAGTAACTGCTGGAGAAGATGTGAAATAACTTGTCTTTTTCCTGATCTTAAAGTTTTCAGACTTTCCTCATTGTGTGTGATGTTGGCTGTTGGTTTTTTATATATAGGCTTTATTATTTTGAAGTAGTTTTCTTTGTTTTTTTTTGTTTGGTTGGTTTGTTTTTGAAACAGGGTCTAGCTCTGTCGCCCAGGCTGGAGTGCAGTGGCAACATCATTGCTCACTGCAGCCTCGACCTCCCAGGCTCAAGAGATCCTCCCGCTTCAGCTTTCCAAGTAGCTGGGACTACAGGTGCACATCACCAAATGGGGTTGATTTTTTTTTTTTTTGTACTTTTTGTAGAGATGGGGTCTCACTGTGTTGCCTAGGCTAGTCTCAGACTCCTGGGCTCAAGTGACCCTCCCTCATTAGCCTCCCAAAGTGCTACCATTACAGGTATAAGCCTCCATGCCCAGCATCTAGTTTTCTTCTACTTATTTATTTATTTTATTTTATTTTATTTTTTTCCAAACGGAGTCTCGCTCTGTCACCCAGGCTAGAATGCAGTGGCACGATCTCGGCTCACTGCAATCTCTGCCTCCCGGGTTCCCACCATTCTCCTGCCTCAGCCTCCCGAGTAACTGGGACTACAGGCGCCCGCCACCAGGCCCAGCTAATTTTTTTTTTTTGTATTTTTAGTAGATACAGGGTTTCACCGTGTTAGCCAGGATGGTCTCGATCACCTGACCTCGTGATCTGCCCGCCTCAGCCTCCCAAAGTGCTGGGATTACAGGCGTGAGCCAACGCGCTTGGCCATTTTCTTCTACTTCTAATTTGTTGAGTGTATTTTTGTCATGAAAGGGTGCTGAATTTGTCGAGAATTCTTTTGCTACATCAATTGAGATGACCATGTAGCTTTTTTCCCTTCATTCTGTTAATGTAGTATATTATCATAATTTTTATATGTTGAAGCACCTTGCCTTAAGGGTTTGTGTGTCTTTGAGATGGAGTCTCGCTTTGTCACCCAGGCTGGAGTGCAGTGGTGCGATCTCAGCTCACTGCAATCTCCAACTCCCAGGTTCAAGCAATTCTCCTGCCTCAGCCTCCTGAGTAGCTGGAATTCAGGCACACGCCATCACGCCCGGCTAATTTTTGTATTTTTAGTAGAGACGGAGTTTCACCATGTTGGTCAGGCTGGTTTCGAACTCCTGACCTCGTGATCCACCCGCCTCGGCCTCCCAAAGTGCTGGGATTACAGGTGTGAGCCACTGCACCCAGCCAAGTTTTTTATCTGTAGACTGATATTGAAGGGTAAGCCAGTACACTACTTACTGTTATAAATGAATTTGACTCCTTAAAAAAAATCAGATTTTGTATGTCTGTTTTTTGCTTGCTTATAAATTTTTCCTTATAAGATTATTTTCTAAAGATTATAAAAATTCATCATTCTCATTTTATATAATTTAAGATATTTAAGAGAGGCATAAAATGTGTTGGTAATAAAAAAACTAGAATGAACTATTTGGAGAAACTACTTATTACTTTAAAGAGAATTCTTGAGATGATTTCAAACTTGTGAAACAATGTAATTATATAACACTTTAATAGATCTATTCAATTATAGTGATAGATATGTAATTTTCTCATTCTGGGAGGTTTTTTTGCTCTTGGTATTTTGGAATTTAACTTTCTCTTGAAAAGTGATAAAGCTGGCACAGGTGTGTCAAGTGATATCTTCATCAGTCCTACAAACTAGAAAAGCAGAGGAAATGTGCCTTTAGAGCAGCATTGTCAAATAGAAATGTAACGTGAGCCATGCATGTACCTTTAATTTTTGAAGTAGCCACGTTTTAAATAAAACAGGAAAAAGAGGCTGAGCGCGGTGGCTCACGCCTGCAATCCCAGCACTTTGGGAGGCCGAGAAGGGCAGATTAGCTGAGGTCAGGAGTTTGAGACCAGCCTTGCCAATATGGTGAAACCTCGTCTCTACTAAAAATACAAAAATTAGCTGGGCGTGGTGGCGTGCACCTGTAGTCTCAGCTACTCGGGAGGGTGAGGCAGGAGAATTACTTGATTACTTGAACTAGGGAGACGGAGGTTGTAGTGAGCCGAGATTGCACCACTGCACTCTAGTCTGGTGACAGAGCGAGACTCTGTCTCCAAAAAAAAAAAAAAAAACCAGGAAAAAGAATAAAATTAATTTTAATATACTTTATTTAGCCTAGTACATTCTAAACATTATATCAACATGTAATCAAATTAATTTTTTGTGAAATTAATTTTTGAGATCAATTTTTTACAAAATCTTTGAATACGGTAGGTATTTTACACCTATAGCACATCTCAATTTGTACTAGGCACGTTTTACGTGCTTAGTAGACAAATGAGGCTAGGGCCATAGCGCAACTTTCAAGTTCTCCACTTTCTGAATTAATATTAGCAGAATTTTTGTATCCATGTAATTAAATTAAGAATTGAATTATGCAATACTTAGATATATTTCAGTGTAATATTTGTGAAGGAGAGAGAGACTGACGGTTGATGATAAATGGAATGATTATCCTACTAGTTGTTTGGTATTTAGGGTCTATGGATAACCCTCAGAATTCTTGGATAGATGCTTTATTCACTGGTTGTCAACTTTTTTTTTAGTTAGGCTTCTAGCAGTGTTCACTTAGTGCCTAATGTATTCGCCACTCATTTCCAATTTGTAATATTTGGCCTCAATTAAAACGTTTACTTTTATTATTATTATTATTATTATTTTTGAGACAGAGTCTTGCTCTGTTGCCCAGGCTGGAGTGCAGTGGCGTGATCTCTGCTCACTGCAACCTCCGCCTCCTGGGTTCAAACAATTCTACTGCCTCAGCCTCCTGAGTAGCAGGGATTACAGGTGCACCCCACCATGCCCAGCTAATTTCTTTTTTTAAATTTTTAGTACAGATGAGGTTTCACCATGCTGGCCAGACTGGTCTCGAACTCCCGACCTCGTGATCCACTCACCTTGACCTTCTTAAGTGCTGGGATTACAGTAGTGAGCCACCACGCCCGGCCTATATTTTTTATCTTTTGAGACTGAGTTTCGCTCTTGTCACCCAGGCTGGGGTGCAATGGCACAATCTCCACTCACTGCAACTTCTGCATCCCGGGTTCAAGTGATTCTCCTGCCTCAGCCTCCCAAGTAGCTGGGGTTACGGGCACCCATCACCATGCCCAGCTAATCATTGTATTTTAGTAGAGATGGGGTTTCACCACGTTGGCCAGACTGGTCTCGAACTTTTGACCTCAGATGATCCACCTGCCTCAGCCTCCCAAATATGAGCCACCACACCCAGCCCAAATTTAATTTTTAATAGGCAACACAAACATCAGAAAGATAAAATGCAAATGGCAGAGTGTTTCTTTTTTATCCTTGTCCTCTGTCTTCTCAGCTCCCTAGTCTCCAGTGCATACCGATTGTTATTAGGTTGGTGCAAAAGTAATTACGGTTTTGCCAATAATATTTGTTTCTCCTTTATCCTTCTAGCTAATGAAGCTTAAGCTTCAGGACATTTCATTTGCCTCAGTTCCTTCCAAGTCCCTGGCTGGGGTTCCAGGCAATGTACTCGCAAAGAAATGTATTTTTGTAACCTTTTAAAAATAAGATATTTTCAACAACAATAAGTTAAGGCCATTGTCTCTTTCCATTCCAACTTTCTCTCCATTACAACTTCCTTCAAAGGTTTTGTACAAAAAAGTCATCTCAAAAATCAATTTCACAAAAAATTAATTTGATTACATGTTGAAATAATATTTAGAATGTACTAAGCTAAATAAAGCATATTAAAATTAATTTCTGTCTTTTTCCTGTTTTATTTAAAATGTTACTACTTCAAAATTAAATGTACATATGTGGCTCACATTACATTTCTCTTTGACATGGCTCACATTACATTTCTCTTTGACAATGCTGCTCTAAAGGCACATTTCCTCTACTTTTCTAGTTTGTAGGACTGATGAAATCATCACTTGACACACCTGTGCCAGCTTTATCAAGGAAGGAAAGGTGGTGATATTCAATTTTGGGATCTAGCCAAGAAGAAGTTGACCTACGGATACATTAAATTTAGGTTTAGAAGGATATATTTATGTGATTTATAGTCACTTTCATTTATATATAAATTATTGGTAGCTGTTCTGATGTGGGAGTAGATTTTAGGAGTATTTCTACTGTTCACTGTGCTAAATCATCCTTCCTCATGACACGTAGGTGCGGAGCCAGAGATTGTATCACTACATGAACATATCATAGTTTAGACAACACTGGGAGCAAATGTATAGTGGAGGAAAAATAAAGATTGAAATGTAGAGAGGCAAAAACAGTCTGTGGAAAATTCTTCCAAATATCAAACATTTAAAAATTATAAATGAGGCCAGGCATGGTGGCTCACTCCTGTAATCCTAACACTTTGGGATGTCAAGGTGGGTAGATTGCTTGAGTTCAGGTGTTCGACGCTGGACTAGGCAACGTGGCGAAAGCTTGTCTTTACAAAAAATGAAAAAAAAAATTAGCTGGGTGTGGTGGTGTGCACCTGTAGTCTCAGCTACGTGGGAGGCTGAGGTGGGAGCATCACCTGAGCCCAGGAGGTCAAGGCTGCAGTGAGCCATGATCATGCCACTGTACTCCAGCCTGGTGATAGAGTGAGACCCTGTCTCAAAATAAAATTAAATAAAATAAATAAAATAAAAATTATAAATGGAAGATTTGGTTCCCATGAACATCTAATCCATACTAAAGTTCTCTCCTGTCATGCATATACTCAGTTACACAGTGCATACAACTATGGATTTTTTTCTCTGATGGAAATTGTGTAAAATAAAATTTATCAAGAATTTCTGCATTTGTAGAACACAAACCAATAGCAGTGCCATAAAGAGTGAGTATGTCTGTGTAAGAAGTCACAAATTTTTATGTATCCCAATGTACTCAACTGTATTTTTTTCTTTCTTTTTTTTTTTTTGTTGAGACAGAGTCTTGCTCTGCCGCCCAGGCTGGAGGGCAATGGTGCAATCTTGGCTCACTGCAACCTCCTCCTCCTCCTGGGTTCAAGCAATTCTCCTGCCTCAGCCTCCTGAGTAGCGGGGACTACAGGCACGTAAAACCACGGCCGACTAATTTTTGTATTTTTAGTAGAGACGGGGTTTCACCACCTTGGTCAGGCTGGTCTCGAACTCCTGACCTCAGGTGATCCACCCGTCTTGGCCTCCCAAAGTGCTGGGATTACAGGTGTGAGCCACTGCACCCGGCCCCTGTACTCAATTGTATCTTAATGTATTTTACACAGTTTACCCTGACAAAGTCTGATGCTTTCTGAGGAAATGGCACCCAAAATTACTATTAATGTGGGAAATGAACAATCATATTAGAGGAAAGACTGAATAATCCAACTATTGTCTACATATATAATAATATTATCAATTATTCTCATGCAAAGAAATAATGAAAGGGTAAGCAGACCAAAAAGTTGGAAAAGAGCATTATGGTGTTATTTCACAAATTACTAATAGAAGTATTATTCTTTCTTCTAGATTTTGTGATGGTTGGGAAATTTTCTCATATATTCCAATTATCTGAAAAAAATTCTCTATTTTTGACTGTTTTTCAAAAATATATTCTTATGGGAAAAAATATTCACTAACTATGCATTCAGCAAAGAACTAATATCCAGAATCTACAAGGAACTCAAACAGATCAGCAAGAAAAAAACAAATAATCCCATCAAAAAGTAGGCAAAGGACATGAACAGACAATTCTCAAAAGAAGGTACACAGAAGGCCAACAAACATAAGAAAAAATGCTCAACATCACCAATTATCAGGGAAATGCAAATTAAAACCACAATGAGATAGCACCTTACTCCTTCAGCAATGGCTATAATTAAGAAATTTAAAAAATAATAGATGTTGGCATGGATGGGGCGAAAAGGGAACATTTTTACCCTGCTGGTGGCACTGTGAACTAGTACAACCACTATGAAAAATAGTATGAAGATTCCTTAAAGAACTTAAAGTAGAACTACCATTCGATTCAGCAATCCCACCACTGGGTATCTACCCACAGGAAACAAGTCATTATATGACTTGTTTGAAAAAGACACTTGCACATGCATGTTTATAGCAGCACAATTCACAATTACAAAAATATGGAACCAGCCTAATGCCCATTAACCAATGAGGGGATTAAAAAAATGTGGTATAGGCCAGGGGCGGTGGCTCACGCCTATAATCCCAGCACTTTGGGAGGCCAAGGTGGGCAGGTCGCCTGAAGTCAGAAGTTCAAGACCAGCCTGGCCAACGTGGTGAAATCCCACCTCTACTAAAAATACAAAAATTAGCCAGGCATGGTGGCAGGTGCCTGTAATCCTAGCTACTTGGGAGGCAGAGGCAGGAGAATTGCTTGAACCTGGGAGGTGGATGTTGCAGTGAGCCAAGATCATGCCATTGCACTCCAGCCTGGGCAACAAGAGCGAAACTCTGTCTCAAAAAAAAAAAAAAAAATGTGGTATATATACACCATGGAATACTACTCAACCATGAAAAGGAATGAAATAATGACATTCATAGCAAATTGGATGGAGCTGGAGCCCATTATTCTAAGTGTAATAACTCAGGAATGGAATACCAAATATCATACATTCTCACTTGTAAGTGGGAGCTAAGCTATGAAAAAGCAAAGGCATAAGAATGATATAATGGACTTTGGGGACTCAGGGGGAAGGGTGGGATGGGGATGAGGAATAAAAGACTACATATGCCAGGCACGGTGGCTCACTCCTGTAATCCCAGCACTTTGGGAGGCTGAGGCAGGTGGATCATGAGGTCAGGAGATCGAGACCAGCCTGGCTAACACGGTGAAACCCCACCTCTACTAAAAATACAAAAAAATTAGCAGGGCATGGTGGCAGGCACCTGTAGTCCCAGCTACTCAGGAGGCTGAGGCAGGAGAATCGCTTGAACCCGGGAGGTGGAGATTGCAGTGAGCCGAGATTGCGCCACTGCACTCCAGCCTGGGCAACAGAAGGAGACTCTGTCTCAAAAAAAAAAAGACTACATAGTAGGTACAGTGTACACTGCCTGCATGATGGGTGCACCAAAATCTCTCAGAAATCACCACCAAAGAATTTATTTATGTAACCAAAAACCACTTGTTCTCCAAAATTATTGAAATAAACTTTAAAAGATTCTGCTAATATATATAATATACATTATATATTATTATATTATAATTGTTATATTTATATTAATAAATTACATTATAAATTATTGTATAAATTGGGATATAATTTGTATTGTATTATAAATTAATACATATAAATTGCATTATAAATTAATAAATATAAATTATATTATAAATTAATAAATATAAATTATATTATAAATTAATAAGTAGTATTATAAATGTTATATTATATATTATTATATAATATATATTAGTATAAATATGTTATATATAATATATATATACTTGCCTGAATAAAATTTTTATTGGATAACTCCAGTATCTATAATACATATCTTTCTGTTCCTATTGTCTATTTTTTTCTCTTGGCTTTTAGTAATTTGATTTTATTGCTAAAAATACTTAGTAATTTTTCTTTGAATGCCAGACATTGTGTATGAAAAATTCTAGAGGTGCTAGAGATGTTATCATTTCCCAGATCAGGTAACCCTTTAATTTGTTAGGCAGATATTATCTTAGACAGGGGCTGGCAAACTCTTGTTGTCAGGTGCCAAATCATAAATATTTTAGGTTTTATAGGTCAAGAAGCAATCAAGGATCTTATGTATGATGTTATCTATATAACATGAGAAAATAAATTTTCATGCATTTTTCATTGATGAAATTCAAAATATAATCATAATAATTAAGAACTTTTTGTAATACAGGTCTAATCAAAAGAATGCAATTCTTTTTCTGAGATGACATTTTGCTTAATTAGCGTTCAAATTTAGTATTCCCTAACATCAGTCAACTGCAAATGTTCTTATGTTTATGCTGATCTGTAATGAGACTTTCTGTATTTCATGTTTGAAAATGGCTTTTTACACAGACAGGTACTGCCAAATATTGGTATCAAATAACAAACACAGACCATATTCATTGCTTGAAAGGCATTTTTAGAATCCTATCAGAGTCTTATCTCAGAGTTTAAGATCAGAAAATACATCTGCTGAAAATTAGCATATTAATGCAGATCTTCCTTCTTATTTTAGCTTTTGCCAGCACAGAAGATATGCAAAGCATTTTGATATTATTTGTAATTTAAACATTAGCTGTCAAAATGATCTTACCATGGTATAAACTTTACATATAAGCACTGTTTTACCTGGTAGTTTTAAATTGAATTCATTAAGAAATATCATCAAATCTGCAGCAAAGCTAGTATCAGGAAAGAAGAAAGTTCACAAATCTATAACTTAAGATTCCAACTTAAAAAACTAGAAAAATAAGAGAAAACTAAACCCAGAGCAAGCGTAAGAAGGAAATAATAAAGATTAGAATGAAAATCACTGACAGAGAAACCACCCCCTACAAAATAGAGAAAATAGATAAAATCAAAAATACAATAAAACTAACAAACCCTTAGGTAGATTGACAAAGAAAATAAGAGAGAAAACACAAATTACCAAAATTAAGAACAAAAGAGAGGCTATCACTAATGATTCTATCAAAATTTGAAAGGGTATAAAGAATATTATAAGCAATATTATGCTAACTAATAAGACAAACTTTGAAATTGGGCAGGTGGGGAGAGAGTTGCAGAAAGACACAAATTCCAAAAACTAATTGAGGAAGAAATAGAAAATCTGAATATACCTAAAACAAAAAGAGAAATTGTGCCAGTAATTTCTAGTAGAAATCTAATTAGCAATTAGAAATACTGTATTACCACAAAAAAAATGCTCAGGTCCAAGTGGCTTTATTGGTGAATTTTATTAAATACTTAAAGTAATACCAATTTTCACCAAACTATTAGAAAATAGAGGGGAGGGAACACCTTTAAACTCATGCCAGGAGACCAATATTACCCTGAGAGCAAAGCCAGATAGCGCAATCACAAGAAAAGATGATAGCCAGTATCATGTACATACACACAAAAAAAATTCACAAAATATTAGAAAAATGAATTCAAGAACAGAATTCAAGTGTATTAAAAAGGTTATACATCATGAACAAGTGTGATGTATTTCAGGAATGCAAGGTTGGTTCAACACCTAAAAAAATCAATTAATGTAATATACCATATTAATAGAATAGTAAGTAGCAAAAATCACATGACTATCTCAACTGATGAAGAAAAACATGTGAAAAATATCCAATACCTATATATGAATTAAAAAATCTCAACAAACTAGAAATAGAAGGGAATTTCCTCAACATGATAACAGGGATCTAGGATAAACCTATAGCTAAAATCATATTAAATAGTGAAAGACTGAAAACATTCCCCCTAAAATCAGGGGGAAAGCAGGGATGTCCACTCTCACTGCTTTTGTTCAACAATATATTCTTCAATACATTCTCTAGTCACTGCAGCAAGTTAAAAAGCAAACAAACAAACAAAAACAAAAAATGCATCCAGTCTAGGTTGAAAAGAAAGAAGTAAAACTGTTTATGTGTGTTTATTTATCTATGTAGAAAATCCTTTAAAATCCACAAAAAAAGAGAAATAATAAACTATGTTAGCTAGTTTGCAGGATACATGATCAATATACAAAAATCAATCATGTATCCATATAGTAGAAATAAATAAAAAACCTGAAAATGAAATTAAGAAAATAATTTCTTCTTCTTTTTTTAAATTTTATTTATTTTTTTGACAGAGTCTCGCTCTGTCACGCAGGCTGGAATGCAGTGGCACGATCTCAGCTCACTGCAAGCTCCGCCTCCCAGGTTCACACCATTCTCCTGCCTCAGCCTCCCGAGTAGCTGGGACTACAGGCACTCGCCACCACGCCTGGCTAATTTTTTTCTATTTTTAGTAGAGACGGGGTTTTACCATGTTAGCCAGGATGGTCTTGATCTCCTGACCTCGTGATCTGCCCGCCTCAGCCTCCCAAAGTGCTGGGATTACAGGCGTGAGCCACTGTGCCCAGTCAACAATTTCTTTTTAAATAACATCACAAATAATAAAATACTTACAAATACATTTAACAAAAAACGTCAAAGTCTTGTATACTGAAAAGTAAACATGGTTGAGAAAAACTAAAACTTTAAATAAACAGAGAGACTGCATACTCATGAACTGGAAGATGCAATACAGTTAGCCCTCCATATTTGCCTGTTCCACATCCATGATTCAACCAACTATAGATGGAAAATATTCAGAAAAAATAATTAAAAATAATACAACAGTAAAATAATACAAATAAAAAATAATAACTGGGCACAGTGGGTCACACCTGTATCCCAGCACTTTGGGAGGCTGAGGTGGGAGGACTGTTTGAGTCCAGGAGTTTGAGGCTGCAGTAAGCTATGATCTCACCACTGCACTCCAGCCTGGGCAACAAAGCAAGACACCATCTCTTAAAATACAAACAAACAAACAAATAAAACAAAACAAAACAAAAAACCCTCAACACAGTATAGCAACTATTTACATAGCATTTAGATTTTATTAGTATTATAAGTAATCTAGAGATGATCTAAACTATAGGGGAGGATTGCAGAGGTTATATGCAAATAGTATGGCATTTTATATGGACTTGAGCATCCATGGATTTTGGTAGCAGGGGAAAAAAGCTGGGGGATGTGGGGGTTTCAGGGGTTGCCGAGTGGGGGGTGGGTGTTGTTGTGGAACCAATCCCCCACGAATACAGAGGGGCAGCAGTATTGTCAAGATAGTCATTCTCCTCTAATTAATCTATAGATTCTACACAATCCCTATCAAAATCCTAGCATGCTATTTTGTAGACACTGACAGGCTGATCTTCAAATTTATGTGGCAATACAAAGTATTATCTAGGATGGCCAAAACACTTTTGATTAAAAACAAAGTTGGAGGATTTACATTATCTGATGTCATGACTTATAAAACTACAGTAATAAAGACAGTATGGTATTGACATAATGATAAGTTCATAAATCAGGAGTTGGCACACTGTTTTTATAAAGGGCTGTAGAGTAAATATTTGAGGCATTGTGGTCTCTGCTACAATTTCTTAACTCTGCCATTAGAGTGCAAAAGCAGCCCAGACACATGGAAACACATGGGAATGGCTATGTTAGTAAAATGTTACAAAAAAAAAAAAAAGGTAGTAGGCTGGATTTAGGCCACTGGCCATATTTTGTGTTCTCTGCCATAGACCAGTGAAATAGAATTGAGAATGCAGAAATGAAGGTGTCAACAAAGGTGTCACGACAAATGGAGAAAGGAAAGTCTTTTTGTCAAATAGTGATGAGGCTTACTGGATATCCACTACAAAAAAATAGCAATACCTCAATAGATTATATATATACATATAAATCAACAAACATGGAATCTTATCTCACACTATACTCAAAAATGAGCTCAAAAGACATCATAGCCTTAAAAGAATTGAAGTGGTACAACCTTTATGAAAACACCTAGGGGGCCAGGCGTGGTGGCTCACGCCTGTATTCCCAGCACTTTGGGAGGCTGAGGTGGGTGGATCTCTTGAGGTCAGGAGTTCGAGACTATCCTGGCCAACATAGCAAAACCCCGTCTCTACTAAAAATCCAAAAATTAGCTAGGCATGGTGGTGGGCACCAGTAATCCCAGCTACTCAGGAGGCTGAGGCAGAAGAATCTCTTGAACCTGGGAGGCAGAGGTTGCAGTGAGCCAAGATCGTACCACTGCACTCCAGCCTAGGTGACAGAGTAAACTCCATCTCAAAAAAAAAAAAAAAAAAAGGGGGGTAAATCTCCATGTCCTTGGGTTAGCAAAGAGTTCAGATATGACACAGAGCCCAAGCCATAAAATAATAAATCAATAAATTGGATTTCATTAAAATAAAAAACTTGTGCCTCCAAAACAACATTAAGAAAATAAAAAGATAAGCCACAGAGAAACATTTGCAAATCATATATCTCATGGACATGTACCTACAATCTATAAAAACTCATACAGTGGCCAGGCGCAGTGGCTCACACCTGTAATCCCAACACTTTGGGAGGCTGAGGTGGGCGGATCACGAGGTCAGGAGTTCAAGACCAGCCTGGCCAACATAGTGAAACCCCGTCTCTACTAAAAATACAAAAAATTAGCCAGGCGTGGTGGCGGGCACCTGTAATCCCAGCCTCTTGGGAGGCTGAAGCAGGAGAATCACTTGAACCCAAGAGGCAGAGGTTGCAGTGAGCCGAGATTGCGCCATGGCACTCCAGCCTGGGCGACAGTGCAAGACTTTGTGTCAAAAACAAACAAAAACCTCTTACAGCTCAAAAATACGACAAACAACTCAATTAAAAATGGACTGGGCAAGGCATGGTGGCTCACATCTGTAATCCCAACACTTTGGGAGTCCAAGGCAGGAGGAGTGCATGAGTCCAAGAGTGTCTGAGACCATCCTGGGCATCATAGGGAAACCCTGTCTCTACAAAACATTTTTAAAAAAATTAGCTGGGCATGTGTGGTCCATGCCTGTAGTTGCAGATACTCGGGAGGCCGAGGGTGGGAGGATCACTTGAGTCTGGAAGGTCAGGGCTGAAGTGAGCAGTGATCACGCCACTAGACTCCAGTCTGGGTGATAGAGTGATACCCAATCTCAAAAAATAAAAATCAATACAAAATTTTTAAAGTAAAAATGGACAAAAGACTTGAACAGACATTTTACCGAAGAAGACATTTGAATGGCTAATAAGCACATGGAAAAGTGTTTAACATCATTAGTTATTAGGGAAATTAAAATTGAAAGTATAGTAAGATGCCACTAGGCTGGGGCCATGGCTCATGCCTGTAATCTTAGCACTTTGGGAGGCCAAGGCAGGCGGATCGCTTGACCTCAGGAGCTTAGGACCAGCCTGGGCAACGTGGCAGATGCCCCTCTTTACCAAAAACACAAAAAATTAGTCAGGTGTGGTGGTGCACATCTGTGGCCCCAGATACTTGGGAGGCTGAGTTGGGAGGATCACTTGAACCCAGGAGGCGGAGGTTGCAGTGAGCCAAGATTGTGCCACTGCACTCCAACCTGGGCGATAGAGGCTCTGTCTCAAAAAAAAGAAAAAAAAAAGCCACTATATACTTACTAAGAATGGCTATATTTAAAAAGACAAATAATATGAAATATTGGCAAATATGTAGAAAGACTGCAACTCTCATACATTGCTGGTGGGAATATAAAATACTACAGTCATTTTGGAAAAGTTTGTCAATTTCTGTAAAAGTTAGACATAAATGTACCACTTGATCCCCCTATTTTACTCCTAGGAATCTCTCCAAGAGAAATGCAAACATAAGTTCACATCAAGACTTATACATGAATGTTTATATCAGCATTTTTGGTAATAGACTCAAGCTGAAAACAACACAATTATCAATTAATAGACAAATGGATAAAAAATATTAAGCCATATCTATACAAATAAAATAGTATTCCATATTAAAAAGGAGTAAAATACTGGTACATGTCACAGCATAGGTAAACCTCAAAAGCATTACTGTAAATGAAAGAAACCAGATGTGAGACTAAATGCTGTATGATTCTATTTATATGGAATCTCCAGAAAAGGCAAGTTTAGAGGCACAAAGCTGATCAGTGTTTGCCAAGGGCCAGTGGTGGTAACGGGGCTTGACTGAAAATTAACTTGAAGGAAAAAGTGGATTATGATGGTTGCACAACTTTATAAATTTATGCAACTTAACCAGGCACGGTGGCTTACACCTGTAATCCCAGCACTTTGGGAGGCCAAGGTGGGCGGATCACTTGAGGCCAGGAGTCCAAGACCAGCCTGGCCAACATGGTGAAACCTTGTCTCCACAAAAAATGCAAAAGTTAGCCGGGTGTGGTGGCTCACGCCTGTGGTCTTAGCTACTCGGAAGGCTGAGGTGGGACAATTGCTTGACCCCGGGAGGCAGAGGTTGCAGTGCGCCAAGATCATGTCACTGCACTCCAGCCCGGGCGACAGAGTGAGACTCCATTTCAAAAAAAAAAAAAAAAAAAAAAAAATTATAAATCTCATTGACTTTGTGGTCGGGTGCGGTGGCTCATGCTTGTAATCCCAGCACTTTGGGAGGCCGAGGCGGGTGGATCACGAGGTCAGGAGATCGCGACCATCCTGGTTAACACGGTGAAACCCCGTCTTTACCAAAAAAATACAAAAAAATTAGCCGGGCGTGGTGGCGGGCGCCTATAATCCCAGCTACTCGGGAGGCTGAGGCAGGAGAATGGCATGAATCCGGGAGGTGGAGCTTGCAGTGAGCCGACATTGAGCCACTGCACTCCAGCCTGGGCGGCAGAGCAAGACTCTCTCAAAAAAGAAAAAGAAAAAGAAAAAGAAAAAAAAAAACCACCACCACAACAAAAAACCTCACTGACTTTGTATACTTAACAATAGGTGAATTTTATGAAATGTAAATTGGTCGGGCGCGGTGGCTCACACCTGTAATCCCAGCACTTTGGGAGGCTGAGGAGGGCGGATCAGCAGGTCAGGAGATTGAGATCATCCTGGTTAACACGGTGAAACCCTGTCTCTACTAAAAATAAGAAAAATTAGCTGGGCCTGGTGGCGAGCCCCTGTAGTCCCAGCTAATCGAGAGGCTGAGGCAGGAGAATGGCGTGAACCCGGGAGGTGGAGGTTGCAGTAAGCCGAGATCCCGCCATTGCACTCCAGCCTGGGCAACAGAGCAAGAATCTGTCTCAGAACAAATAAATAAATAAATAAAAATTATACTTCAATGAAAGTTTAAAACATAGGGGAAAGAGGGGTGTTTTTTCACATAATGAAATGTCTAGATGTAGACACTCTATTATGGTCAATGATTTGACAGTGTTATCGGGATTCAACTAATCTCTCTTTCTAATTTGCCATCTTATGGTGTTAGCTTTTATCATCATGCTAGTTGCCCCATGATCTAAGCTGACACTGATCTAGGCATTATCCTCACATTGAACTCAGAAAAAAAGGAGAAGGTAAAGAGAAGATGCTGACAGTTGTATCGGTTCCTTTTTGCCAGGAAAACATTCTCATAATCCCTAAGTAGGCTTCAACTTGCATGGTATTGGACAGGCCTGTTAAACATGGAATTGTCCAGTCTAGCTACAGAGGATTCTTGGAAAATTTAATTTTCCAGCTTCTTTTCAGGAAGGCAAGGAAGAAGGGGTTGGGAATGGAATATTGAGCCAAGAGATTTTGCCACTCTTTTCTTTACCTCCAAATTATTATCAACCTTAAACAACAGATGTCATTATATTAAATGGGATCAAACTATGTGTGTATTTACGGAGGAAGGAGTATCACTGGTATTTGAATAATTCTAAAGTCAAAATTGGCCGGGCACGGTGGCTCACACCTGTAATCCCAGCACTTTGGGAGGCTGAGGTGGGCAAATCACCTGAGGGTAGGAGTTTGAGACCAGCCTGACCAACATGGTGAAACCCTGTCTCTACTAAAAAGACAAAAACTAGTGGGACGTGGTGGCGCAGGCCTGTAATCCCAGCTACTCGGGAGGCTGAGGCAGGAGAATGGCATGAACCTGGGAGGTGGAGGTTGCAGTGAGCCTAGATCATGCCATTTTGCACTCCAGCCTGGGTGAAAGAGCAAGACTCCGTCTCAAAAAATAAAAAAAAGATATAAAATTATATTTCTTCTTACAACCACATGGCTTTGTTATTAAAGTTTCTTCCTGATATAAAAATACAGATTAAACTTCACAATGATGGGAAGCACTTCAAGATAAATATTAGAATAGATACAATTCTCATTCTTAAGATACTTTTTAGAAAGAAAGTAAATTTGGACAGCTGATCAAAATAGTTGGCAAGAAGACAGGAAAAATAAACAAATACTGCTTTATTTTAATGTGCCAGGTCCAAACCAGCCTTAAATAACTCTACAGAATCTTTTATGAAAAATGATTCACTCCAGGAGTCAAATGTCATAGGCATTTTTTCCCCTAAGTACCGGCCAAAATTGGTGCCCCCACTTCCAACTGAGGGGGCTCACTTGACTCATAAGGGCCTATTAGCATGTCTCTTCTCAACCCCAAGTTCAACGATGTTCATTTTAGTAGCTTGAAATTGACCACCGTGGAAGTATTTTTACCACAGAAATTGGAAAATGTTACAAATCACTTATTTTCTTAGTTTTTAAAAATGGCAAATTTTATTTTAGATTCAAGTGGTACACGTGCATGTTTGTTACACTGGTACATTGAGTGATGCTGATGTTTGAGGCACGACTGATCCCATCACCTAGGGAGTGAGCATAGTACCCAGTAGGTAGTTTTTCAGTCCCCACTTCCCTCCCTCCCTGTCTAGTAGTCCCCAGTGTCTGTTGTTCCCATCTCTGTGTCTGTGTATGCCCAGTGTTCAACTCTCACTTACGAGTGAGAACATGTGGTATTTGGTTTCTGTTCCTGTGTTAATTTGCTTAGGGTAATGGCCTTCAGCTGCATCCATATTGCTGTAAAGGGCATGATTTCATTCTTGCTTACGGTTGCTTAGTATTCCGTGATGTATATGTACATTTTCTTTATCTAATCCTCTGTTGATGGGCACCAAGGTTGCAAATCAGTTATTTTTTTTTCTGGAGAGTACTTAAATAACTACTAGCGTACTTCTGACCACTTGCATTAATTTTTAGAGTTGACTACATTACACACCTAGAAACAAATTTCCCCCATTTCATACTCAACATGAAGGCTGCAATGGATCCATTTGCTTTTTCACTTGCATGTCATTTTTCTCCCTAACATAACACCACCACAACCACCACCACCACCAACACCAACAACAACAAAATCAAGGTAGCCAGTAGCAATTTTTATGGCTTAAAAAAATTAAGCTGTGAAAATATTGGCATGAGTAATCTGATGGAGGGGTTAAGAATATACTTGGCTGTGCACAGTGGCTCACGCCTGTAATCTCAGCACTATGGGAGGCCAATGCAGGCGGATCACGAGGTCAGGAGATCAAGACCATCCTGGCTAACACAGTGAAACCCCGTCTCTACTAAAAAGTACAAAAAATTAGCTGGGCGTGGTGGCGGGCACCTGTAGTCCCAGCTACTTAGGAGGCTGAGGCAGGAGAATCACTTGAACCTGAGAGGCGGAGCTTGCAGTGAGACAAGATCACACCACTGCACTTCAGTCTGGGTGAGAGTGAAACTCTGTCTCAAAAACAAAACAAAACAAAACAAGAATAAATTCTTGGCACAGTACTTTGGAGCCAGGGCTACATAGAAGAAACTCTTTGGCAGAAAAGCTCCCATTGACATTAGTGGCTGGTATAGGGCAAAGTAAAGGCCTTCACTGTGGGGTAAGGTCCAGGGCAGAAAATGTTTCTACAGCTCCAGTCCTTACTGCCTAGGAGGTGAGGACTTTTATTTCCTGAACAGTACCAAAAATTACTGTCAGGGTATATAAGTGTTGTAGAGGAATTGCTACACCACTATTATCAGTATCCCAAATGGTATCAGTCATCCTGACACTAGGTACCCTAGAATAATTGTGGCAAAGGTAGAAATGTGAATGAGTGCAGAGTAGATTGAGTAGAATGAGTCCCCACTAGATTGAGAGTGAGGTTGGACACAAGAATCCGATCGTCTTCAGGTATACAATTCTATTTTATCTTCAATCAGATTATTCTTGACTAGAAGTTCATCATCTTTTTCAGGTTTGGAATTTGGGGAGGTACCTTTAATAAAGATACATGTACCATGTTCAGTGAGGCAGAAAACCCTTGGGCCACCTATCATACCTCCTGTGCCTAACAAAAGACTATCATTCTTGGTTGAATTATTCAAATAACTAAAATAATTTATTAAAGAAATGATATCATATATGGGTTTTAAACATTAAAAATCACAAGTAAATTATGAACTCATGTTATACAAATATACATATTTGTCTTAGTCCATTTGTGTTGCTATAAAGGAATATCTGAGGCTGGTAATTTATAAGAAAAGAGGTTTATTTGGCCTACGGTTCTGCAGGCTGTACAAGAAGCATGGCACCAGCATCAGCTTCTGGTGAGGACCTCAGGCTGGTTCCACTCATGGTGGAAAGAGAAGGGGAGCTGGCATGTGTGCAGAGATCACATGGTGAGAGAGAAAGAGAGGGAAGTGATGGACTTTTTAACAATAGGCTCCCATGGGAACTGATAGAGCAAGAACTCAACTCATTACCACAAGGACTGCACCAAGCCATTCAGAGATATCTGCCCCCATGACCCAAACACACCCTATTAGGCCCCACCTCCAACACTGGAGATCAAATTTCAACATGAGATTTGGAAGCCTCAAACCATAGCATTTCACCCCTGGCCCTCCCAAAACTCATACTCTTCTCTCATTGCAAAATACAATCATTCCATCTTGATAGTCCCCAAAAGTCAACTTGTTCCAGCATCAACCCAAAGTCTGAAGTCCAAAGTCTCATCTGAGACTCAAGGCCAAGTTTCTTACAGCTGTGAGCCTGTAAAATAAAAAACAAGTTATTTACTTCTAAGATACAATGATTATACAGGCATTGGGTAACCATTCCTATTCCAAAGGGAGAAATCAGCCAAAAGAAAGAGGTAACACAGGCCCCATGCAAGTCTGAAACTCAGCAGGGTAGACATTAAATCTTAAAGCTGCAAGATGATCTAGCTTGACTCCACACTCCACATCCTGGGCACACTTGTACGAGAGGTAGGCTCCCAAGGTTTTGGGCAGCCCAGTTCCCATGGTTTTGCTGGGCACAGCCCATTGGCTTCTCTCGTGATTAGAGTCCAATGCCTGTGTTTTTTACAGGCGGAGATTAAACGCTGCTGGTTGCTCTATAATTCTGGGGTATGGAGAGCACTATCCCTGTTCCCACAGCTCTACTAGGCAGTGCCCTGGTGGGGACTCTCTGCAGGGGATCCAACTCCATATTTTTCCTTATATTGACCTAAAATTTGTTTTTATGCAAATTCCACTGTTTGGTCCTAGTTTAGATCTGTAGGAATCTTCTTTCAACTGGCATCCTACCTCTCTCCCCTAAATCTCTTGCAACCCAGTAACTCAAAATTTCTTCCACAATGACTCTCATATGATATGGTTTATAAAACCCTTTCCATATCTTGGTTGCACTTATCTGGATGTTCTGTATTTGCCAGTATATCCTTAAATTGTTCAGTACAGAATGCAAAAAACACATGGGTTTTGATTGACCAGGAGCTAATGCTGTGCTTGGATGGAGTTTGTCATCAAATATCTTCGGTGGCTGGGCGCGGTGACTCATACTTGTAATCCCAGCACTTTGGGAGGCCGAGGAGGGCGGATCATATGAGATCAGGAGTTCGAGACCAGCCTGGCCAACATGACGAAACCCCGTCTCTACTAAAAATATAAAAATTAGTCAGGCGTGGTAGCAGGTGCCTGTAGGAGGCTGAGGCAGGAGAATTGCTTGAACCCGGGAGGTAGAGGTTGCAGTGAGCAAAGATGGCACCACTGCACTCCAGCCTGGGCAACAGAGAGACTCCGTCTCAGAAAAAAAAAAAAAAAGGGTTGGGCATTGTGGCTCACACCTTTAATCCTAGCACTTTGGGAAGCCGAGGCGAGCGGATTGCCTGAGCTCAGGAGTTCGAGACTAGCCTGGGCAAGACTGGGCAAGAGTGATACTCCATTTCCATAAAAAAAAAAAAAAGTCTATGGCAACCAAATTATATTAGATCATTTGGAGTGTCATTCAGCTAAAATCTCTATCTTATCAAATGGGATTTTATTAAGCCATATTTTCGGCCGGACGCAGTGGCTCATGCCTGTAATCCCAGCACTTTGGGAGGCTGAGGAGGGCAGATCACGAGGTCAAGAGATCGAGACCATCCTGGCCAACATGGTGAAACCACCCTGTCTCTACTAAAAATACAAAAATTAGCTGGGCGTGCTGGCGCGCACCTGTAGTCCCAGCTACTCAGGAGCCTGAGGCAGGAGAATTGCTTGAACCCAGGAGTTAGAGGTTGCAGTGAGCCGAGATCGCGTCCCTGCACTCCAGCCTGGCGACAGAGCAAGACTTGGTCTCAAAAAAAACAAAACAAAAAAAAAGCAAAAATACAAAACAAAAAATAAACAAGCAAAAAAACCATATTTTCCCCCATTTTTTACTCATGTAATTGGATTTTTAAACATAAAGGTAGGACTTTACATCTATGCCAAGTGATATTCATTCTTTGAGATGTGATTCAATGTTTCCAGACAGTCAAAATATTTTTGAATGCCCAGTTTTATCATCCAAACAATTAACTATTTTTTTCTAGCTGCACGTTGTTTGAAAATTTAATGAAATGTCTTTTTTTTTTTCTGTTATAAAAGTCAGAGGTAAAGAGATTGCTGTGGAGGCAGGGTATGCTGTGGTTCACCATTAGACTGAACAAACCTTCATCCTTCTCCCTGAGTCTCTCCCTTCTATTTCCATTAGCTGTAGGTTCTGTAAGAAGTTAACAAATTCTATTCCTATAAACTTCTGGTCTTCTGTCTGTTCTGGATATTCAAATATTACAATGATGACACAAATGTTTCTGCTTACTTCAAGGATGTACTGATGGAAATTTTAAAAGAACCCTCAAAATGAAATCAATTCAATGAAAAATAAGATTTTTTTATAACTGATTCCAAGGGGAATTTGAAAAGAGGAGATATATACATAAGCCATGAAACAAATTTGCAAATAGATGCAAAACTGGCTATTTCTGCAGGGTGGATAAATCAATTGTGTCTCCACCAGGTGGAACTTATTTGCAGGTCTATTGACAAAAATGTTTGCAAAATCTTTTAGCTATAACTTGCAGAGTTGTAAGATAGCTCAAAGACAATGAAAGACACATGCTCCATAGAACCAGATAACCCAAGGGCACACCATAAGCAGAACACTGTTTTCCATTGAAGTCACTCAGTAATCTTTTGGTACATTTCAAAGTCTTTCACACATGTTTTCTACATAGATGATATAAAACCAAGAAAAAACAAATGCTTCTTTTGTCTTTTTTTTAAGACAGGGTCTGGCTCTGTCACCCAGGCTTGGCTGCAGTGGCGCCACCATGGCTCACTCCAGCCTCGACCTCCTGGGCTCAGGTGACCCATGATCCTCCCACATCAACCTCTTGATTAGCTCAAACTACAGGCACATGCCACCAAGCCTGGTTAATTTTCGTATTTTTTGTAGAGATGGGATTTTGCCATTTTGCCCAGGGTGGTCTCGAACTCCTAAGCTCAAGCGATCCTCCCACCTTGGCTTACAAAGTGCTGGGCTTACAGGTGTGAACCACTACCCCCAGGCAAAAAAAAATTTTCATTGATATATAATTGTGCATATTTATGGGTAAATGTGATATTTTGATACATGCATACAATGTGTAATGATCAAATCAGAGTATTCAGGATATCTTGCCTGAAACATTTATCATTTCTTTGTGTTGAAAACATTTCACATCTTCTCTTCTAGCTATTTTGAAATACACAATGAATTATTAACTATAGTCATCCTACTGTGCTGTCGAACACTGGAACTTATTCTTTCTATCTAACTGTATGTTTGTACCCATTAATCAAACTCTCTTCATCTCCACCCCACCACTCTTCCCAGGCCTTGGTAATTATTCTCTTAGTTTGTATTTGTGATGTAGATGTAGACTTATGAAATGTCGTTCCAAACAGAGCAATGATGTATATTTAATTTTTGGATGTGAAGATTCATCTTTCACTTGCAAGAGCAGAACAAAATGGCTATTGAGAGCTCAAATCCCCTCCTGGAGTGTGTGTCTCATGTGGTATAATGAGAGCACACTAGATGGGAAGGGACATATCAGATATGAGGGACCATCAGATGGAAGTGGGAGGCCAACAGCCTTTGAACCCTCAGTGGGTCTGACCTCTGGGGTTGTCAAATGAAATGTCAAGAAACATTTCAAAGATTTTCGACATTTCTGAAAATTTATTTGTAAATTCTTCTAAACCTAGGAAAATGTTATTTTTTTCTTTTATCATATCATCAAATTAATTTGTGTCTCCCAAATGAGCCATTAATTTTCTGATTTTTTTCTCTTTGGACTGCCTGATCTAAGAGTTACATATACTTTGCAGGAGCTCCCTCTCTTTTATTTATCTTCTAGTTTTTTCATTCTAAAGTTCAAATTCCCTTTTTACCACCAATAACATCAACACAGTAAAGAAATTGTTGAAATGTAGCTCTCACGCTGTGATCAAAGCTATTTCTCTCAAGGTGATTCATATCCGCAGACTCTCAGAAATGTGCAAACATTTATGTCGTTACTAATACACCAGCAAAGCTTCAGCTGTACCAAAGTCCAGAAATAAAATTAGAGCACTGAGCTAATTAGCATTGAATGTACAAAGAGGAACTGAAAGTTATGTTTCATATTTACCCTTGGGAATGGGAGGGTGGGCTTTCTCAAGTTTAAAACCCAAAACATTGGCAGGGTTCTCAAGTCTTTCGAGATTCAAACAGTATTGCCAGTATTGAGATTCAAACAGTATTCAGTGTTATCACTGGCAGCATGCAATGCCATTCTTGTTTTTTGTTTGTTTGTTTGTTTTTGTTTTTGAGACAGAGTCTCGCTCTGTCACCCAGGCTGGAGTGCAGTGGTGCAATCTAAGCTCACTGCAAACTCCGCCTCCCGGGTTCACGCCATTCTCCTGTCTCAGCCTCCCGAGTAGCTGGGACTACAGGCGTCCGCCACCACGCCCGGCTAATTTTTTGTATTTTCAGTACAGACGGGGTTTCACCATGTTAGCCAGGATGGTCTCGATCTCCTGACCTCATGGTCTGCCCGCCTCGGCCTCCCAAAGTGCTGGGATTACAAGCATGAGCCACCGCGCCCGGCCACCGTTCTTAAGAAATATAAAAATTGGCACCAGAGAACCAATTGCTTTGCATCTGGGAAAAAGGATTTAATGCATTTGGCTTTTGAGCTTTTCAGCAACAAAACTGTTTCTCCTCTGACTGAAAATAGCCCTGATAAAAAGGTTTCTTGAGACAAATTATTTTAAAAGGCTTTGATTAGATTGTGTTTACCCTTAACTTAAAATCATGGACTCCAGTGAAGCTTTGTACAAAATTGCATTCGTGTCTGTACTGTCTTTCTGCACAATTTAAAAACCAGAGCTCTTTGAGCTGCCACCTCCACTCCCTCAATGTGTCTGGTAGAAGCAATTTCATGTTTGCAGGGAAGTTTGTCACATTTGCAGGGGAATTTGGTCTGTCTACCTTTTAAAAATCTTTGCAGAGGTTGTTGGAATGGGTGTGGTAGGGTGGAATAGGAGTGGCTGTCTTGATCGATTCTGTCAATTTTTAAATCTTCTTTCCTAGTTTTTTTCACAGCATTGCTAATGCTGGCTACTAAAAGCATTTTTCATTCCTTATGCCTAGCAGCTGATCTACTTTGGGAATAGACAACTGAGTTGCAGCAACAGAGAGGCATCAAAGCCTACCAAAGGTTGGCATGGAGTCTTGAGCCAGAACAAGGTTGGATTCTGACTTTCACTAGCAGTGTGACCAGTGACAAGTTACTTCACTCTATCCTCGGTGTTCTCATCTGTATAACAGGGATGATAATATTAAAACCTACCTCAATGGGTTATTTTAGAGATTAAATGAGCGCACTTTTATAAAGTGCTTAGAACACAGCTTGGCATTTAGTATGTGCCTTATAAGTATGCTTTGATCAGTTAAGTTAAAATAATTGCTTTTCATTGTGAACATTTGGAAAAGAGCTAAATATCCATCAGTAGGAATCTGGTTAAATCAAATATAGTACTACATTTGTACAGGAGTATATAATGCACATATTAAAAAGAATGTGACAAGTTGCCCTAATATGTAAAGTTGTCCAAAAAATATACACATACATATACATATGTGCATAGAGAATTAGGTGTGGAGAGCATGCAGGTAACTATTATCTACAATTGTTTCTGAGAGGCACAAAGAGACTCAAAAGGTCGGGAGGCTCCCTTTTTGTTATGCCTTTTACTTTTACTAAAAAAAAATGACCCAAATTTTAGTTACTTTTAAAAAATCCAGTTAGGCTGGGCACCTGTAATCCCAGCACTTTGGGAGGCCAAGGTGGGCCAAGAGATCAAGACCATCCTGGCCAACATGGTGAAACCCCCGTCTCTACTAAAAATACAAAAATTAGCTGGGTGTGGCGGTGGGCGCCTGTAGTCCCAGCTACTTGGGAGGCTGAGGCAGGAGAATCGCTTGAACCCGGGAGGCAGAGGTTGCAGTGAGCCGAGATCACACCATTGCACTCCAGCCTGGTGACACAGCAAGACTCCATCAAACAAAAAAAAAAATCCAGTTAATTATGATTTTTGTTAGGGAAAAAAGAATAATTGAGAAAGATGAAGGACATAAACTGAATTTTGACACCTAAAAGAATAAAGACAAATAAGGCTACATAAGGTGGCTCACACCTATAATCCCAGCACTTTGGGAGGCTGAGGCAGGAGGATTGCTTGAGATCAACAGTATGAGAATAGCCTGAACAACCTAGTGAGACCACCATCTCTGGAAAAAGTTTAAATAAATAAAATTAGCTGGACTTGGTGGCATGTGCCTGCAGTCCCAGGGAGGCTGAGGTGGGCAGATCACTTGAGCCCAGGAGTTTGAAGCTGCAGTGAGTCATGATGACACCACTGCATTCCAGCCTGGACAACAGAGTGAGATCCTGTCTCAGCAATTTTTTATAAAAGAATAAAGAGATATATGAGATTCTGAACTGCTTTGCTGGTATCTTTTGCATTAAACACAACTTTAATGTTTCTTTGGGAACTAAAAGCTAGCCCTGGAAATCCTTAACCTTCATCCTCTTCTCCAAGGCATGACTTTGGATTATGATATAGACAATAACTCACTATAATTGAGGCACATTTTATTACTTATAGATATGAAATTGAATATGCTTTGCCTTACCTGTCCCCACCTTGGGAGATTTTGTTCATTTTGAGGGAGGTGGATGCACGGTAAGGGGATAACAATAGAACCAGAAAATGAGTTGCATCAAGGAAAACACGGAAGACTAGTGATTCCTTATAAACTAGTAGCCTGGTTGTCCCAAATATTTTTCCTATCAATTTACTGTAATGCATGTAATTCCCAACATTATTCACTACTTAGGGTTAAGATATAAACTTTGTGGACAAAGATTATAATAAAGACAAAATTGGGCCGAGCGCGGTGGCTCACGCCTGTAATCCCAGCACTTTGGGAGGCCCAGGCAGACAGATCACGAGGTCAGGAGTTCGAGACCCAGCCTGGCCAACATGGTGAAACCCCGTCTCCACTAAAAATACAAAAATTAGCTGGGCGCAGTGGCATGCACCTATAGTCCCAGCTACTTGGGAGGATGAGGCAGGAGAATTGCTTGAACCCAGGAGGTGGAGCTTGCAGCGAGCCGAGATCGCACCACTGCACTCCAGCCTGGGTGGCAGAGTGAGACTCCATCTCAAAAAAAAAGAAAAAAGAAAAAAGTATTATGCATAGAAGGCAAAAGCTGAAAAACTGAAGTGGTTGAGGATTAGGTAGCTACAGTGGGTGTGTACCTCAGAGATGAAATCCATCAGTGAAAAAGAAATTTACATGGTTAAGTGTGGATCCTGGCTCTGATGCTATTACAGTATATATTCACTTTGTGAGGTAGTTCACATTTCTGAGTCTCATTTTCTTACTCTGCAAAATGAGGATACTTGAATGTATGATAATACCAAAAAAAAGAAGTTTTGCTGCATATACCCAGAGCCTAGAATAGCACCTGACATATAATAAGTACTCACTAGATCTTTGTTTAAAAAAACACAAATTAATTAAATGAGGTGATATAAAGATAACTGAATGCAAGAGGTAGCCAATATATTTTATTTCTCTTTTTCTGGTTCCTGCAAGGTATTTGATAAGGTTCTTCATAGTTTGTTCCTCATGAAGTAGAGGATTATGGGCTAGACATAAGGATGAGTAACCGATTCAATGGCAATAATCAAGGGGTAGATTAATGGATCACTAGCATTAAGTTTCAAGGCTTAGCATAAGACTATCCTTGTTATCTACTTAAATTTTTTTGTCATCTACTTGGGTAAATGTATAAAAGGTGTGGCACATCATATATTTGCAAGACACCAAGCTGAAAGAAAGGATATATGTAGGAAAGAATCTAGAGATTTTGATATATTGATACGAGGGACAGAATTAAATAGAATGGAATTTAGCAGGATAAATTTAAGGTCTTGTTTTGGGTCCAGAAAAATCCCAAAGTGTATGAACACGGTGGAGGAGACTATGTTTAAGTGACAGAGGTTTTCATCTTCAATAAACCCAATACCTATCAACTTTAGAGATTGTTTGTATCAAGCAGGTCATGCAATCTTGAGTTGCATTCATAAGAGAATGGTATTCTTCAAGTTAGGACATGGTCCCAATTCACTCTGTCATTTCTGGAAGGTTGCATTCTACTTCCAGAGTCCTGGTTCAAAAACAACACACAAAAATGAATTTGAGTTGAGAGATGACTGATCAGAGTAGTGAAGGGACTTGACACTATGTATGAGGTTTGATTGAAGAAATTGGGAAAATTTAGCCTGAATGAAAAACTTAGATGAGGATAACATATTGCTAACCTGTCTTATGGGAAGGGTATTACATTTGATCTACAAGGCACCAAGAGATAAACTATGATTGTCTGGGAGAATTAATAGACAGATTTTGTCCCATTATAAGGAATAACTGTTATGAGTAAAAACTGTCCAAAGATGGAATAAGCAATAGTGATTTTCTTCACTGAAAACATAATGGATGTCCTTTTAAAAAATCAGAAAACAAAAAAATGTTGAAATAGGCACATGGTTAATAGTTTGAAACATCATCATCTGTTAAAATTCGAGTATGCTAGAACTAAAATTGGCAGATGTCCATGCCGAGGTTGGCCCATAACTCCACAGTGAAGTTAACTACAGGATGGCACTTAGATTAATATGTAAGGCCTCTTCTGGCCGGGCACGGTGGCTCACCCCTGTAATCCCAGCACTTTGGGAGGCCAAAGCGGGCAGATCACGAGGTCAGGAGTTCGAGACCAGCCTGGCCAACATGGTGAAACCCCATCTTTACTAAAAATACAAGAATTAGCCAGGCGTGGTAGTGGGCACCTGTAATCTCAGCTACTTGGGAGGCTGAGGCAGGAAAATCACTTGAACTCGGGAGGCGGAGGTTGCAGTGAGCCAAGATCGCGCAACCGCACTCCAGCCTGGGCGAAAGAGCAATACTCCATCTCAAAAAAAAGTAAGGCCTTTTCCAATACATGTAAGACCTCTTTCAAATCTGGGAGCCTATGAATTCTAAATAATAAATGCGGGAAATATAGATTCTATTGAGATTGTAGCTCAGTTACTGACCTTGGTTCTAGGCCTCCCATGAATACGTGAGTATTAGTGTGATTCTTGGACTCTGTAAGGTTCCATTCACAGCTGGTTAACTAGAAATGGAAAGCTGATTCAGTTGCCAAGCAACTCAGATTTGGATAAAGATGCCACCCTGTTTTAGTGTACCACATAAGCAGATAAACAAACATTCTTTTAACTATGACTCAATCTTCCCTTGTGGGTACACTTATAAAATGAATCAAAGCACCAAGGCAGATATTTAGGTAATTCAGGGTAAAATTTTCTATAGATAAGTAATCTGATCATTTAAAAGCCCCAAATAGCTGACCCACGTGAATAATTTCCTCTATTCTACATCTCAGTGTGTGAGCAGGACAAAGTCTCAGCTGTGCACATTTATCCTTGAGAAAGTGATATATGGTGGAGCACCAGAGACAGACAAAGAAGACCACAGAACTAGTGGTAAGTGTGCAAATGTTTCTTCTATAATTTGATCACCTCCACAATGGAGTTGATTTGTGAGTTCAGATGTCTTTTTTTTTTTTTTTTTTTTGAGACGAGTCTCACTCTGTCACCCCCGCTGGAGTGCACTGGTGTGATCATAGCTTACTGCAGCTTTGACCTCCCAGGCTAAAGCGATCCTCCCTCCTCAGCCTCCTGAGTCGCTGGGGCCATGGGTGTGTGCCAGCATGCCCAGCTAATTTTTTAATTTTTTTAGAGACTGAGTCTCACTGTGTTGCCTAGGCTGGTCTCAAACTCCTGGCTTCAAGCAATCCTCCTGCCTCGGCCTCCCAAAGTGCTGAGATTAGAGGCATGAGCCCCCGTGCCAGGCCAAGATGTCTTTTTTTTTTGAGACAGAGTCTCGCTCTGTCACCCAGGCTGGAGTGCAGTGGCACGATCTCCACTCACTGTAAGCTCTGCCTCCCGGGTTCACACCATTCTCCCGCCTCAGCCTCCCAAGTAGCTGGGACTACAGGCATGTGCCACAATGCCCAGCTAATTTTTGTATTTTTAGTAGAGATGGGGTTTCACTATGTTGACCAGGCTGGTCTTGAACTCCTGACCTCGTCATCCGCCTACCTCAGCCTCTCAAAGTGCTGTGATTATAGGCATGAGCCACCGCACCTGGCCCAAGATGTCTTTTAAAAATAATCTTGGACCTGCCCGGCATGGTTGCTCACGCCTGTTATCCCAGCACTATGGGAGGCCAAGGCGGGTGGATCACAACGTCAGGAGATTGAGACCATCCTGGCTAACACAGTGAAACCCCGTCTCTACTAAAAATATAAAATATTAGCCAGGCGTGGTAGCAAGCACCTACATTCCCAGCTACTCGGGAGGCTGAGGCAGTAGAATCCCTTGAATCCGGGAGGTGGAGGTTGCAGTGAGTCGAGATCCCACCACTGCACTCTAGCCTGGGCAACAGAGGGAGACTCCGTCTCAAAAAAAAAAAAATAATAATGTTCTTGACATAATGTTTATTCACTGTTTCCCAACTTTGTGGGTATTAAAAATAATGTCACACTAAATATACACAATATATATATCCAACCAACATACCTGACATGATGCAAATGAATCTTCCGAATACAACTATTATTATTGTGATGCTTAAAAGCTTAAGCCAAAAAAAAAAAGTTTTCATGAGACAGTGGTGATGAAATATTGATATTTATCTATTTAATTTTAGCAAATCATTAAACTAGAAACTTTTTGCTTTTTTGTTAATTTTTTCTTTATTTATTTTTATGTTTTATTTTCAGAGACAGGGTCTCAGTTTGTTGTCCAGTCTAGAGTACAGTGGCAAGAACATAGTTCATTGTAGCCTCGAACGACTGGGCTCAAGCAATCCTCCTGCCTCAGGCTCCCAAGTAGCTGGGACTACAGGCACGCACCACTGCACTAAGCTAATTAAAAAAATATATATTTCGGCCGGGCGCGTTGGCTCATGCCTGTAATCCCAGCACTTTGGGAGGCCAAAGCAGGCTGATCACGAGGTCAAGAGATCAAGGCCATCCTGGCCAACATGGTAAAACCCCGTCTCTACTAAAAATACAAAAAGTTAGCTGGGTGTGGTGGCAGGCACCTGTAGTCCTAGCTACCCAGGAGGTTGAGGCAGGAGAATTGCTTGAACCTGGGAGGTGGGGGTTGCAGTGAGCCGAGATTGCACCACTGCACTCCAGCCTGGCAACAGAGCGAGACTCCGTCTCAAAAAAAAAAAAAAAATCAAAACTTCTTTCAACAATTCACTTACGTGCTTGCATTTAGAAGATGGTGAAGCTTCAAAATAATAAAAAGTGTATTTCAATTTTTTTGATTAAAAATAACATGTATTCTTTCTATAATGAAGAGAATCATCATTATTTATAATAAAAAAGAATTATGAAGTGTCCAATTATTCTAAGTGGAGGGCATGGCACTTGCTTAAACCATGCTAAAGAAGCCCTGGTTTGTGCCCTCATAGTGGGAGATGAGAAGTGAGGATGGAGTGAAAACCGAGTGCTGAGTCTGAAGGCTCTGTATTAGTCGTCTGTTTTATAGACAGAAGAGCTGGAAGCCACATCCCAATCACAGCTGAGGAGCCTGCAGTGATTGCAGATACAACCTTCTTTCCATCTCCCTACTCCACACACCCTACTGAGCCACCCCAACCCCACTCCCCTAACCTATGCTTCACTCTTGTGATTTCTAAGGGGTTTGTGTTGCCAGCAGCCCTGGAAGCCACCAGATCTGAGAGGCACAAGAGGAAGGGTGTTGATGGAAGTTTTATCTTAGCCTTGAAGGACAAATTGTTTGAGGGAGAAAAACTAGGCTGGATAAACATAAGGAAAATCAAATTCACTGAAGTCCACCTGGAGAATAGTACATTCTCCTCCCCCTAAAACGCACATGTTAGGGGCTCTATTTTACTATGTACCTTGTCATAATTCTAGAGGATGGGTATTACTATCATCCTTTTTACAGATAAAGAAATTGAGATGCAAATGGGTAAATAGCTGAGTCAAAATTTGTTTTCTCAGTCTTCTGAACATAAAGCTATCACTTTGCCTTCTGCTAAAGATTGTTTAGAGAAGACAGAATGAACAAGAGGAGAGGCTTCATTTAATTTAAATCACCACCCTCCCTACCTTTCTCTCCCTTAGATGGGCAGAGTTGACATCTACCTAAATCAGGGCCCTTCACCTTTCTCATTCCTCTTGCAGGTTCCTAAGATCATGAGCTCTTTAGGGAAAGGTCGTATCGGAGTCCTTTTTGTATCCCTAAGATCTAGCATAGTGCCTCACATCCAGCAGAGGTAGGGAATGAAGCCTATGGGGAAAAGCATATTTCCATACTATCTCTACTGAAAGATATGCAGGCTGGGCGCACGGTGGCTTATGCCTGTAATCCCAGCACTTTGGGAGGCCAAGGTGGGCAGATTGCTTGAGCCCAGGAGTTCAAGACCAGCCTGGGCAACAAGGTGAAACTCCATGTCTACAAAAAGTACAAAAATCAGTCAGGTGTAGTAGCCTGTGCCTGTGGTCCCAGCTACTCCAGAGGCTGAGGTAGGAGGATTGCTTGAGCTGGGGAGGTTGAGACTGCAATGAGCTGAGATCATACACTCCAGCCTGGGTGATGGAGTGAGACCTTGTCCCCCAAACAAACAAAAAACAAAACAAAAACCCCACAAAAATCTATGCTTTTGATTCTTTGTAACATAAATAGGATGTGTTGTGTGCTCTTTAAGATGCCTTCTGGCCCTAACCTTCTGCATTGACAGGAAAGCTTACATTTGTTTCCATAGACAACTGCAACAATATACTGGACTATGTAGTTCATATCATCAGTAGCACTTGCCAGCCCTTACAGAGCTCAGATTTGAGATGCGTAATTTACCACTTTAGAGGAATCTCATGTGCTCATAATGAATTAAGGAAAGCATACGGAAAACATGCCTGGACATTATTGGCAAATAATCATGGGAACTGGGGAATCAACTTATAGAAAATGCAATGATTTATTAAAATTTGGTGGAAGCCAGCCTGGAGACCTACTAACGAGTATATAATAAGCAACTTTTCCCTAGGAAGGAGATCCTTTATATGTTAAAAGGATTCTATTTGCTTATGGAGGTGTGAAAATGATAATTTTCAGAATCCAAAGATATATGGGCTTCTCTTTAGGAGGATATTATGCCAAGGTAAAATGAGAACCATAATACCAATATGTTTGTATGTACACACAGGAGAATTTTTAAAAATCCAATTAATTCTTAATTTAATACGTTGTCTTAGTAACTACTATTTCAAGATGCTCAGTGCTTACAACATAACTCATAGCTTTACCAAGGCAGGAGAAAAATAGAAAAAGACAGAACCTTAAAATACCTTTGCCAATTAAATCCTGAATTATTTTTGACTCTGAGAATAGTCAGTCATTTACTTAAGCTGCGAAGGATGATAAAGAACACATTGAATCTTCATGCCTCCACTTACATTTTCATTATTTCACAACCTTGAATGTGTTTTGGGGTTCCATACAATCGCCTTTACCTCCAAATCCAAGATGTTAAAAATAGATGTAAAGACCAGCTTAGTATCAGATCTTTACCTTGAAGGCTAAAGCCAAAATAATGGAGTTCATGACCTGAGTCACCAAATTCCCATAATCCCAGGGCAATTTCAAGAAATCCATAAAATGTGAAAAGTAAGTGATAAGAGCTACAAACTGCACACCAAAACAAGCTCATGCTTTCTTATTAACTCTTTGCAATGAAAGTTCATTGTTGAAAGTCAAAATGTCTGGATAGGTTCATGGCAAGCCTCAAAGGTTTACTTAAAATTCCAAAAACTGCCCTTTAATAGGCCTCTTATATTATAGTTTCTTATGGCAGGTCCCATTCATTGGCTACTAAAAAGCTATTCCCAACCCCCTTTCCCTTGCCATCCCCACTCCGGAGGCTTAACAGCCAAATATTTAGCTTCCTATAGCTTTTCATCTAGCTAGGGGAAATGACATGATGACACTGGGTCCATGAGACATAAGCAGAATCCTGCTGGGGCATGTCTAGGTGAAACTACTGTCCCCAGGACAAGGGATAGATGTGCCTAGAGAGTCTTTCTTCGTTTCCTCTTATTCCTACTTTGAATGCAAACGTGACATCTGGAACTTTTACATTATTTGGACATCATGAAGCCACAAGCATAAAGGAAAGGCCAAGAAACTTTCAGGGACCCATGCCACTGGACTAATAAATGCCAGCAGCCACCTACCTCCATGCTCTTTTTTTTTTTTTTTTTTTTTTTGAGACAGAGTCTCACTTTGTCGCCTAGGCTGGAGTGCAGTGGCGCAATCTCAGCTCACTACAAGCTCTGCCTCCCAGGTTCACGCCATTCTTCTGCCTCAGCCTCCTGAATAGCTGGGACTACAGGTGCCTGCCACCATGCCTGGCTAAATTTTTTGTATTTTTAGTAGAGACCAGGTTTCACTCTGTTAGCCAGGCTGGTCTCAATCTCCTGACCTCATGATCCGCCCGACTCGGCCTCCCAAAGTGCTGGGATTACAGGCGTGAGCCACCGTGCCTAGCCCCTCCATGCTCTTAATAGGACAAAAATCAACCCTTATTTGTTTAGAACACTATCAGTTGGATTTTGTGTTCCTTGCAGCCAAAAGCATCCCTAGCTGATAGGGTGTTTTACATACATCATTGATCTTTCCCAGAACACCCTGAAAGGTAGCCATTATCATCCCTATAAGTGAGGAAACAGAGGCAGAAAGAATTTAAGTTACTTATCCAAGGTTGCACATTGATCTCAATCACTTCACTGGTATTTCCCAGTTTTTATTATTTTATTTATTTATTTATTTGTCTTGAGACGAAGTCTCACTGTGTCGCCCAGGCTGGAGTGCAATCTCACCTCACCACAGCCTCCACTTCCTGGGTTCAAGCAATTATCCTGCCTCACCCTCCCGATTAGCTGGGACCACAGGTGCGCACCACCACACCCAGCTAACTTTTGTATTTTTAGTAGAGATGGGTTTTCACCATGTTGGCCAGGCTGGTCTCGAACTCCTGACCTCAAGAGATCTGCCCGCCTCAGCCTCCCGATGTGCTGGGATTACAGGCGTGAGCCACTGCACCCAGCTGTATTTCCCAGTTTTTAAATAGGGTTTCATTTACTGGCTAACCAGTAAGGCTGTATGCACTTATTGCACTCTCTTACTCTCTGTGTGTGTGCAGGCACAAGTGTGTGTGTTTGTGTGTGTGTGTCCTAGTGTTCCTACCAGGGAATTTAGGTTCTAGTCCCGTTCTACTACAACTTGCCTTCAGGGTGTGTCCTCTACTCTGTTTCCTCTTCTGTAAAATGCTGGACTGGATTAAAGTTCAAAAGTCTCTTCCACCTCTAACGTTCTGTGATACCATCATTTTCTCACAAGATTGTGAGCTTCACAACACTAAGTAGGGATTGTAGTGTTTTGGGGGGTTTTCCAAGCTTAAATTACTTGGCCCATGACAGATACTCAGTGATTCCATTAAGTCTGAGCTAAGGTTTGAATGTCCCTCCAAAAGCATGTGTTAGAAACTTAATCTCCAATGCAACAGTGTTGGGAGGTAGGGCCTAATGAGAGGGTGATTAGTTTATGATGGTAGAGTGAAGTGGGATCGTGGATTCTTTTTTGTTTTTTTTTGGAGATGGAGTCTCGCTCTGTCGCCCAGGCTGGAGTGCAGTGCTTGATCTTGGCTCACTGCAAGCTCTGCCTCCCAGGTTTACATCATTCTCCTGCCTCAGCCTCCCAAGTAGCTGGGACTGTAGGCGCCTGCCACCATGCTCGGCTAATTTTTTTTGTATTTTTAGTAGAGATGGAGTTTCACCCAGTTAACCAGGATGGTCTCGATCTCCTGACCTCGTGATCCGCCTGCCTCGGCCTCCCAAAGTGCTGGGATTACAGGCATGAGCCACCACGCCCGGCTGTGGATTCTTTTATAAAAGGAACTACATGAGTCATCTCTGTCCATCTAAGAAAGAGAAAGGTAGGTAGGGTGGCAATTGTTGCCTTGCCTCTGTTGTTTTTACAGTAACTACCCCTACATTGCCTTTGACCATTGAGTGCCAGCACTTGGGACCTACCATCTTGGAATCTAATTATTACCATTGCATTTATGTTTTTCAATTAAGTGACTACGGTTCCCACTGTAAGGTATGGTCTACAGAGAAGAGCAGTCACAGAGCTCTTCAGGGATTCAGGGGCTCTCCTTACAAATCTATTTCTCAAGGCATTGGTGAAAGGTATGTCTTCTGGGCCCTCCTAGTGTGGGTGAGGTTTCACGTGGCAAATTCACTCTAGCATTATCAACCTTTGAATCCCTTCCTCTACGGTAAACCACAGGACATCAGCCATTTCTAACTTGCTGTTGATGGGACGTCTTTTGATCCATGTTTCAGCCAAGCAAACTGTTAGCACCTTTCTTACTCCTGAGCTGCAACATTAAATGCAGAATCTCTACTTAGTGGGTTCATATTAATAAATTTCAGACTGATCCAACTGTGGGTTCCCTCCACCATTATTCCACACCCTTAATATCCATTCCCCCACGTGTTCTCCATATTTCTGCTTTATAAATTAGAAAACTCAAGTAGCCCTTTTGGAATGTATCACACCTCCTCCTGACTCACACTTGGTATTTCGCCTTTAGGGTCCTGATGAAACTTGAATCTAGTTACAGTTCTAGAAGCAAAAAAGGGTGGTGGGGTTGGGTCCTGAGGAGAATCAGCATTATCTTGTATGGCTACTGCTTCAGGGGAAGCCATTACTATTTCCGGTTAATCCCCTCAAAGGGAGCAGAAAGGTTGATACCACTGTGTGTGGGGACACTGCTGCCTCTGAGGGTGGGAGTAGAAATGGGGAGGTCACTTCTGGCCAATGAGACTCATGAGGTTCATCAGGGTCTTCCTACAGGTCTTCATCACAATTTGCAGAATTCCACTGTTTCCTAATCAATGCCCTCACTTTAACAGTAGGTAGTCTGTGAGGCTGAGAGTTCAGCTTTCCTTGCAATTCAACCAGTCATGTGATGAGGGTTTGTGTTTGATTTTTGGCAATTTCAGACCTGTAGTCACAGGAGAGAAGATTCTGACTCAGGACACACCTAGAAACTCTTAAGTCACTTATGTGGACTGGGAGTCAGGAAATCCATTCCAGGAGATCATCCAATTCCTTCATCATTCTATCCAGTGACACTAGGAGCAACCAACCAACATCATTATGAGAGGTGAAGCCGGCTGGGCTTCTGGGTGGGGTTGTGACTTGGAGAACTTTTCTGTCTAGCTAAAGGATTGTAAATGCACCAATCAGTGCTCTGTGTCTAGCTAAAGGTTTGTAAACACACCAATCAGCACTCTGTAAAAACGCACCAATCAGCACTCCGTGTCTAGCTAAAGGTTTGTAAACGCACCAATCAGCACTCTGTAAAAACGGACCAACCAGCAGGATGTGGGTGGGGCCAAATAAGGGAATAAAAGCTGGCCACTTGAGCCAGCAGTAGCAACTGCTCCTGCTTTGCTCCCCTTCCAGGCTTGGGATGCTTTGTTCTTTTGCTCTTTGTTCTTTCGCTCTTAACAATAAATCTGGTTGCGGCTCACTCTTTGGGTCCACACTACCTTTATGAGCTGTAACACTCACCACAAAGCTTTGCAGCTTCACTCCTGAAGCTGGTGAGACCACAAACCAACCAGGAGGAACGAACAACTTCTGATGCGCCCTTTTTAAGAATTGTAACGCTCACTGTGAAGGTCTGCAGCTTCACTCCTGAAGTCAGCAAGACCATGAACCCACCAAAAGGAAGAAACTCCAGACACATCTGAACATCTGAAGGAAAAAACTCTGGACACCCATCTTTAAGAACTGTAAAACTCACCGCGAGGGTCCGCAGCTTCATTCTTGAAGTCAGCAAGACCAAGAACCCACCGGCAGGAACCAATTCCGGACACAATTATATTCCTTGGTGTTTCCACAAATGTTTGAGAATATTATGTATAGAGTCATTAAATTCTTTGCCTCTTATAAGTAGTAAATTATGAGTATCAAATGCATTTATTTTGCGTATCTCTAAAACTGTTCATGCCATGGACTATCAGTGCCCTCTGTACAAGTAGAAGTAGAGTCCCTAGCATTTTTAGGTCTACTCAAACTAAAGAGCCGCTTCCAGAAACCCCCGGACCAATTAAGGAAACTTATCCTTAAAATTCTGTTCCTCGGCGGGGCACAGTGGCTCACGCTTGTAATCCCAGCACTTTGGGAGGCCAAGGCGAGTGGATCACCTGAGGTCGAGAGTTTGAGACCAACCTGACCAACATGGAGAAACCCCATCTCCACTAAAAATACAAAATTAGTCAGGTGCAGTGGTGCAGTCTGTAATCCCAGCTAGCTGGGAGGCTGAGGCAGGAGAATCGCTTGAAGCTGGGAGGCGGAGGTTGCAGTGAGCAGAGATTGCGCCATTGCACTCCAGCCTGGGCAGGAAGAGTGAAACTCCATCTCAAAAAAAAGAAAATTCTGTTCATCTAGTACCACTCCTGGTAACAAAACCTGTATTAGTAATGGGCCTTTCGAGAGACGGAACTAGTAGGACATAAATAGAAAGATGGATGGAGAGAGAGATGATAGATAGATAGATAGATAGATAGATAGATAGATAGATAGATGACAGATTTATTAGGGGAATTGGCTCATGCGACTATTGAGGCTGAAAAGTCCCACAACAGGCTGTGCGTTATTTGATATACATACTATAAATGCTATTTACAGAGTAAATAAGAGTGGCATAAGGGCAGCAGAAGACTCCAGAGGAAAATGTTGCAAGGTACCAGGGGCAAGATGATGAGCATGTAAACTACAACATGGTAATGGAGAAGAAAAGGAATAGACAATTGCAAGTGGTGTCAAGCAGGTATAAGGATAGTATTTGACAACTGATTAAATGATGGTGGGCATGAGGATAGTAGGCAAAAGCATAACACCTGGGAGCCAAGCACAAGGAGGAAGTTTTGTGGAGTCAGATCATGAGTTTTGTTTTGGAGATGTTGAACTTAGAATGCCATGCAATAGCTGAGGGTAGGCTGTCCAGTAGAATGTCAGACAAATATGGGTTGGTGCTTGGAGGATAGAGAATCATCAACACTTAGGACAGTGGTTCTCAACCCTTTGAAAACCAGCATTTCCTTTTAAAATAAATACTTAGTATAACTTCTGCAATGCATAGGTAATATGCAGCCACACCTTTGTTTTATTGCTCTTCGCTTTATTGTGCTTTGCGATACTGCACTTTTTACAAATTGAAGGACTGTGGAAAACCTGTGTTGAGCAAGCCTATCAATGCTATTTTTCCAACAGCATGTGCTCATTTTATGTCTCTGTGCCAGAATTTTTTCTAGCAACAAAGCATTATTAAATTAAGGTTTGTACATTGTTCTTTGTTTTGTTTTTTTGAGACGAAGTTTCGGTCTTGTTGCCCAGGCTGAAGCGCAAATGGCGCAATCTCGGCTCACTGCAACCTCTGCCTCCCGGGTTCACACCATTCTCCTGCCTCAGCCTCCCAAGTAGCTGGGATTACAGGTGCCCAGCACCATGCCTGGCTAATTTTTGCACATTTAGTACAGACGGGGTTTCACCGTTTGACCAGGCTGGTCTTGAACTTCTGACCTCAGGTGATCCACAGGCCTCGGCCTCCCAGAGTGCTGAGATTACAGGCGTGAGCCACCGTGCCTGGCCCATATTGGTTTTTTTTAGACATAATACTATTACACACTTAATAGACTATGGTATAGTGTAAACATAACTCTTATATGCATTGGAAAAGAAAAAATGTGTGTGACTCTTGCTTTATTGCAATATTCCCTTTATTGCGGTATCTTTATTGCAGAGGTCTGGAACTGAGCCTGCAACATCTTCGAGGTACGCCTATACACATATAAATTCTTTAAGAATTCCAATAATACCATGTAAAGGACACATAAACACAGAGCAATTTATTCTTTAAAATAAAAATTTAGGCTGGGCGCGGTGGCTCATGCCTGTAATCCCAGCACTTTGGGAGGCCGAGGCAGGCGGATCATGAGATCAGGAGATCAAGACCATCCTGGCTAACACGGTGAAACCCCATCTCTACTTAAAAAAAGAAAAAAAATTAGCCAGCCGTGGTGGCGGGCACCTGTAGTCCCAGCTACTTGGGAGGCTGAGGCAGGAGAATGGCATGAACCCAGGAGGCAGAGCTCGCAGTGAGCTGAGATTGCACCACTGCACTCCAGCCTGGGTGACAGAGCAAGACTGTCTCAAAAAAAAAAAAAATTAATATTTACATATTCAGGCATGACTACACTTACAGTTCATAAATATATGTTATATATGTGTGCAAGGTTAGTCGCTACAGAATTCATTCATTTAACAACTGTTCATCGAGTCCCTTCTAAGTTACAAGTGCAATTTTAGGTACTGGGGAAACAGCAGTGAAATGAAAGAAACAGTGTCTGCTCTCATAGAATTTACATTCTCTTAGAGAGCAAGACAGACAACAAACAAATAAATAGGTAAATAGTAACACAATTTCTTATGGTCATAAGAGCTATGAGAATACAGACTATTGGGATAAGGAGTGGTATCGGGGGAGGTCTACTTTTGGTGGCAAAGTCAGTAAAAGTCTCTCTGAAGCATTAAAGATGAAACAGAGGCAGCTTCATGGAGGAATTATTGCCCCAAGATGGAGAGAAGGTAAGTGTGTTTGCGGATCAGCAAGAAGAACGTAGCAAGAGGGCAATGTTTTAAGATGACCTAGAAGTAAGCATAAGTCATATCATAAAGGTCAAAATAGGAAGCTGAGGTTTTTTTGTGTTTTTTTGTTTGTTTTGTTTTTTTCTTGAGATGGAGTCTCACCCTATCACCCAGGCTAGAGTGCAATGGCATGATCTCGGCTCACTGCAATCTCTGCCTCTTGGGTTCAAGCAATTCTCCTGCCTCAGCCTCCCAAGTAGCTGGGAATAGAGGCGCGTGCCCCCACTCCTGGCTAATTTTTTGTATCTTTAGTAGAGATGCGGTTTCACCATGTTGGTCAGGCTGGTCTCGAACTCCCGATCTCGGGTGATCCACCCCCCCAGGCTTCCCAAAGTGCTGGGATTACAGGTGTCAGCCACCACACCCTGCCAGGAAGCTGAAGTTTTGTTCTAAGTGCCAGATGAAACCATCAGAAAACTTTAATCAGAGGTAGGAGATGATCTTATCTATTTTTTTTTTTTTGAGACGGAGTCTTGCTCTGTTGCTCAGGCTGAAGTGCAGTGGAGTGATCTCAGCTCACTGCAACCTCCACCTCCCTGGTTCAGGTGATCCTCCTGCCTTAGCCTCCCGAGTAGCTGGGATTACAGGTGCCCGCCACCATGCCCACTAATTTTTGTATTTTAGTGGAGATGGGGTTTCGCCATGTTGGCCAGGCTGGTCTCGAACTCCTGGCCTCAAGTGATCTGCCCACCTCGGCCTCCCAAAGTGCTGGGATTGCAGGCATGGGCCACTGTGCCTGGCCTGATCTACTTTTCAAAAGTATATTCTTCAGACTTCCCATTATGACAGCATGGCAGACTAGATTTCTCAAATGACTCTTTCATGGAAAACAACGAAAAATTATGAATAATTATATATTTTTAACATTTCAAAGATCTGGCAAACACGTGAAGAATTTGCAAATGCCAAAATGAAATAAAAACAGGAATCCTAGGAGGCATATTCCTGAAACTGGCTTTTATCCTAAGGGTATTTTCTCAATTACAGTGAACTGTAGCAAAATGTTGATTGACACCTAGGGCACACAAGAAGGGAATGAAGTCTCAGGCCCACCCAATGTGGGAGTCGATTAGAAACTCCCCATATAAAGCTCAGCTCTCAAAGGCATGCATCTGAAGGAGTGAATGAGAAATAAAGCTACAGTGCAGAAAGAGAAAGCAGACGTTCCCATACAGTGTTGACAAAAGTATAAAATAGTATAACCACTTTGGAAGATGGTCTGGCAGTTTCCCATAAAATTAAACATAATCCTACCCTATGACCCAGCAACTCTACTCTGAGGTCTTTACCCAAGAAAAATGAAAACATATGTTCAAAAAATGACTTGTATGGAAATGTTCACAGCCGCTTTGTTTATAATAACCCTAAACTGGAAGTGGGCCCAAGTGTTCATCAACACAAGAATGGATAAACAAACTGTGGTATATATATACACAATAGAATACTAGCCAGCAATAAAAAGGAATGAGATACTGATACATACAACAACATGGACAAATTTTTAAAAATTATGCTGAATGAAAGAAACCTCACACAAAAGAACACAGACTGTATGATTGTATTTATATGAAATTCTAGAACAAGCTAAAGTAAGAAGGAAAAAAATCAGAACAGGCTGCCAGGCACGGTGGCTCACGCCTGTAATCCCAGCACTTTGGGAGGCTGAGGCAGGCGGGTGACAAGGTGAGGAGACTGAGACCATCCTGGCTAAAACGGTGAAACCCCATCTCTACTAAAAATACCAAAAAAAAAAAAAAAAAAAATTAGCCAGGCATGGTGGCAGGTGCCTGCAGTCTCAGCTACTTGGGAGGCTGAGACAGAAGAATGGCGTGAACCCGGGAGGCGGAGCTTGCAGTGAGCCGAGATCGCACCACTGCACTCCAGCCTGGGCGACAGAGAGAGACTCCGTCTCAAAAAAAAAAAAAAACAAAAAAACATCAGAACAATTGATGCCTCTAGTTGTTGGAGGCAGGGGACATGGGACTGACTCTGGGAGGGGGCATGAGAAGACTTTCTGGGGTTATGTCGATGTTCTATTATCTTCATAGGACAAACTTTTACAAGGTAAAAAGATTTGGGCATTCTGGCTGGGCGCTGTGGCTTACACTTGTAATTCCAACACTTCGGGAGGCTGAGGTGGACGGATCACTTGAGGTCAGGAGTTTGAGACCAGCCTGGCCAACATGGTGAAACCCTGTCTCTGCTAAAAAAAATACAAAAATTAGCTGAGCATGGTGGCGCACACCTGTAGTCCCAGCTACTTGGGAAGCTGAGGCAGGAGAATCGCTTGAACCTGGGAGGCGGAGGTGGCAATGAGCTGAGATCATGCCACTGCACTTCAACCTGGGTGACAGAATAAAACTCTGTCTCAAGAAAAAAAAAACAGTCTGGGCACAGTGGCTCAGGCCTGTAATCTCAGCACTTTGGAGGCTGAGGAGGGCAGATCACCTGAGGTCAGGAGTTTGAGACCCACCTGGCCAACATGACGAAAAATACAAAATACAAAAATTAGCTGGGCATGGTGCTGGGCACTTGTAATTCCAGCTACTCTGGAAGCTTAGGCAGGAGAATTGCTTGAACCCAGGAGGTGGAGGTTGCAGTGAGCGGAGATCATGGCATTGCACTCTAGCCTGGGTGACAGAGTAAGACACTGTATCAAAAAAAAAAAAAAAAAGAGACTGCATTTCATTGCATTTACATTTTATACTCCCAAAAGAAAAAAACTGTAAACAAATATTAACTCGATTAATTATATGTATGCTGAAGGGCTTAGGGGTCACTTGTGTTTTCAAATGCACCAAAAAACATAATGGAGTGATGGATGAATAGAGGGATGAATACATAGGTGAGAAAAAATAAAAGTTTTCATGATAAATTAATGGAAGAAAAGAAGGTATGGAAATGTGCCAGTCTTAATTTTGATAGAAGTCAATGGAAGGCAAAAACTAATTCATATTACCCCAAAGGAAACATTTAATTTAAATCGTCCTCGGTTATTAGTGCCTATAAGGCAACTGGGATAAACAAGTGCAAGAAGAATGCTGGTTCAACCCAAGGCCCAAAGGATCCTCTTAAAGGATTCTCAGAGGAGAAGGAGCTCACAAGCACAAATCCCTCAGAATATAAGGAAAAAAGTGGCCATAAATGGGAGCCAGCGGAAACAATGAATTGAAAAAACACACAAAGACCTCAGGTTTTTTTTGTTTTGTTTTTTTGTTTTGTTGTTGTTGTTTTTTTTGAGACAGAGTCTCACTCTCACCCAGGCTGGAGTGCAGTGGCACAATCTTCGCTCACCACAACCTCCACTTCCTGGGTTCAAGCGATTCTCCTGCCTCCCCCTCCCAAGTAGCTCTGATTACATGTGTGTGGTATGACTTCTGGCTAATTTTTTGTTTGTATTTTTAGTAAGAGACGGGGTTCTCCCATGTCGGCCAGGCTGGTCTCGAACTCCTGACCCCAAGCGATCCACCCACTTTGGCCTCCAAAATCCTGGGATTACAGGCATGAGTCACACGCCCAGCTGACCTCAGGTATTTGAATCATCAGACAGCATATGTTTAATGTGTTTAAATAAATATGAAAGACTTATCATCCTAAGAAATAAAGACTAAAATTTTATGAAGCAGATTAGATTAAAAAGTCATCTAGAATTAAAAATTTTATGGCCAGGAGCTGTGGCTCACATCTGTAACCCCAGCAATTAGTGAGGCCAAGGTGGGCGGATGGCTTGAAGCCAGGAGTTCGAGACCAGCCTGGGCAACACGGTGAGATCTCACCTCTACAAAAAATTCAAAAATTAACCAGACATGGTGTTGCACGCCTGTGGTACCGGCTACTCCAGAGGCTGAGGCAGGAGAATTGCGTGAGGTCAGAAGTTCGAAGTTACAGTGAGCTTTGATCATGCCACTGCTCTCCAGCCTGGGAGACGAGAGTAAGACCTTGTCTCTAAAAGTAAATAAATCAGTAAATAAATATTGAATGAATAAATACATAATAAGCATAATAGAGTAATATAAGTTTAAAACTCAGTCGATGATGAGCAAGCAGATTAGAAACTGAAGAGAGTTATTAGTTAACTAGAAGATATTCAAACTGAAGCTCAGAGAGGCTGAGATAGACACCATAGGAAGAGGTTAAGAGTCAAGGAAGAAGGGCCGGGTGCGGTAGCTCACGCCTGTAATCCCAGCACCTTGGGAGGCCTAGGCGGGCAGATCACCAGGTCAGGAGATGGAGACCATCCTGACTAACATGGTGAAACCACGTCTCCACTAAAAAATACAAAAAAAAAAAAAAAATAGCTGGGCGTGGTGGCAGGTGCCTGTAGTCCCAGCTACTCGAGAGGCTGAGGCAGGAAAATGGCGTGAACCTGGGAGGCGGAGCTTGCAGTGAGCCGAGATCGCGCCACTGCACTCCAACCTGGGCGACAAAGTGAGAGTCCGTCTCAAAAATAAATAAATAAATAAATAAATAAATAAATAAATAAATAAATAAAAGAATCAAGGAAGAGGGCAGGTGCGGTGGCTCACCCCTGTAATCCCAGCACTTTGGGAGGCCGAGGCGGGTGGATCACCTGAGGTCAGGAGCTCGAACCAGCCTGGCCAACATGGCGAAACCCCGTCTCTACTAAAAATACAAAAAACTAGCTGGGTGTGGTGTCGGGCGCCTGTAATCCCAGCCACTCGGGAGGCTGAGGCAGGAGCTTGAACCCGGGAGGCAGAGGTTGCACTAAGCCGAGACTGCGCCATTGCACTCCAGCCTGGGCAACAAGAGCGAAACTACGTCTCAAAAAAAAGAAGAGTCAAGGAAGATAGAAAGGGAGGTCCAACATGCCTCAAATCAGAGTTTTGAAAGACAGAGAGAGAATGGGAGGAGGAAATATTTTGAGAGACGAATGTTCAGAGCTGAGAACAGAATTACTAAAAGATAACAATTCTTAGACTAAGGACTCCTATAAAATTTCAAGCAGGATAATTTTTTTTAAAAATCCACACCTCGACCGGGCGCGGTTGCCCACGCCTGTAATCCCAGCACTTTGGGAGTCCAAGGTGGGCGGATCATGAGGTCAGGAGATCCAGACCATCCTGGCTAACATTGTGAAACCCCGTCTCTACTAAAAATACAAAAAAAAATTTAGCCGGGCATGGTGGCAGGCACCTGTAGTCGTCCCAGCTACTCGAGAGGCTGAGGCAGGAAAATGGCGTGAACCCGGGAAGCGGAGCTT